>NT_187602.1:0-300000 GCF_000001405.40 Homo sapiens
GAATTCTTTGTCTGACAAAATTACCAATGGTGCTTACATAAGCAATAGCCTACAAAATTCAAAGCAAACCTTAGTACATAATTTTCACTGAAAATTTTATGAAAGATGGTGGAAATTGATCTAAATAAATAGCTGAGTTAATAAAGGAGGGGAACCAAAACAAACATTTGAGTTTAAAAAGTAAAGATTGAGTATTCATATTTAAAGGAGTATCAGTGAAAATAATATAGTACTTTAAATTAAAAATATTTTATTTGTAAAGGAATAAAATTAAAATAAGAGATCAATAGTTATTTAAAACTTCAGCCAGCTCCTTCACTAAATATAATTTCACATAGCTTATCTTATACATTCTATTTTTATTCAGTAGTAATGATTTCAAGAACATGATCTGATAACATTGTACTCTCACACTTAAAACTCTAAAATAAAATACAGTCAGATCCTGTTAATAGATAAACATACTATGTGACCAGACTGTAGCTCATAAAAATTATTCATCATGTCCTTATAAAGAACATTAACCTGTATTATAAAATCAGGCTGACCATTATAAACATATCCACTTGATGAATTCATAATATAGAAACAAGTTTGGAACTTGGACCATGATATTAAAAGGTATACTAAAAGCATCACAAGGCCTTCCACATTACTTAAAAAAAAATGGGGGGGCCTGCTGTTTTCACATAACAATTAATGCTGTTGGGTGGCAGATTTTCATTCTAAAATTATTCTTTAGAAAATATTTTATTGTCTTTTTATTGATCTCCTCAAAATCCTACTATTCTGGATTATAAATAGTGTATAAATGTATAAATGAATATTCTCTTCAACAGCATGTTACCTTTACCTCTTAGAAGTACTTATTCCTCCTTCCTTGTATTATTGTTAGTAAAAAAAAAATCTCTCTTTCGTAATATAAGAAAGAATATTATCTTATTCATCTTTTGTCTTCCTGATCCCTACCCTAATTTCTCAGGGAACATTTAACTGAATTAATGTCAAATTCAAAAATGGAGTAAGAATAGAATAGGTAGGAAAAAACAAAGCCTGGGAAGAGAAGAAAGAAGATTCTAACTCTGCTTTTAAATGTATTTCATTTGATTAACAGTTTCAAAATATTTTTATATTTTGGTATTTGTTTTCATTTTCTCAAGTAAAACTACTTTAAAAACAGATCTACACTTGGATAATTTATAGTTATAAATCTGTAACCTTTAGATGGAACAATTTAAATCTCATAGAAAATGTAAGCCCTGGAATTTGATCTATATATTAATTTTATGTGGTGACAGAATACATAATTTTTAAGAAGTACTATAATGTGACATGGCTAACCATATTTGGAAATAATACCTGAGAAGTTATAAAAATAGTTGCATTATAGCATCCAATCCAGAATTAACTAAACCAAATAGGAGCACTGGCGGTTACAAAGAGAAACTTCTGTTCAATAAAGAGAGATTGTTCCAACATTTAGATTAGCCTATAATGGAACAGGTTATCAGAAATGTTCATTTTTATTGTAGAAAGCATTATACATACACACACATATACCCATAACATGTATGATTATATATTCAATAAATTGTGTAAAACTATTTTAATTGTAGAGGTACACCATAGTCTATTATCCATTCTGCTCCTCCCAGGACTCCAAGGTTGTGCTCCAAATAGCCTAATCCAACCAGATTAATCATTTGTTGTTGTTTTGGTGGAGTGATGGGGAGGGTGGCAGGCAATGATTAGTTCAGAGACTCAGTATCAAAGTGTAGCATAGCAACAATTGATTCAAAAGAAGGCCAGCCAAGCTCTAAGCTAACCAATCAAATTGGAGAGAAGAATCTTGCTCAGTAATTGACAGAAAGGAGCTTGCTTTCTTCACCTGGATGTGAAGGTCTATAGCACTAATTCTCTCTGGCAGCCTTGTGACCTCAAACAGTATCAGCTTTAGCATAAAATCAACACTGTAGCTGGTACAGCAGAGATATAGATAAAACCTGGGTCTCTGATGACATTATTGAGACTCAGATAACCCAGCCCTGAAACACAACTTATGTTTGCTGCTTTTCCAACCTTTTGCTGCCTTTCCAACCTCCCTGTCCTGTTTTAATGCTTGAGACGCTCCCTTGCCTACTGGTTTCCAGTTGAGTTTGACTAATTGAAGACATTAGCAAGAAATTAAGGGACAGAAAGAAAATGAAGTTGGGTATACATTTTCCAGATTTTACCCCTTCAGTACACTTACACTATACTCCTTTCTTGAAGACCACAGTCCCATCAGGCACCCTTCTTCTATAGCTACAATAACTTTCTCTTTGGGTTATGCTAAACACTTATTCCCCTCATCTCTTCAAATCTTCCCAAGCTCCCTGCTTTCAACTTTTTGAATACCCTTGCATTAAACTCTTCTCAAAAACCTAGGTTGAGTACGCCATCTGTTTCCTGCCAAGAATATAACTGATATGCCATCTAACACTAGACTTTGTTACATTAGTATATTTTCTTAATGTTTAAGATACTTTGAATCAAATTTTCTACTAACCACAATCAAAAATATCCTATTGAATATACTGGATAACCTCTAAGTTTTCCACAAGATCATATTTTGGCAAAACAAAACAAAAACACCTTAAAATTTTTTCATGGAACAGTAAAATTGTTATTAATAAAAGGCCTCGCATATACTATCTTCCTAAGATATCTTCTATGACAAGGAGATATAAAAGCTAAGTGGCAGTTAACCAGTAACCTGTTATTAAGTTAAGAAATTAAAAAATCAAACTTCTATTACCTATACTATTAATACTAACCTGGCCACTGATTATTTAAAAATAACACAATATGAGCATTCCTCTGAGAAAGGTAAAAAAGTTACTGTTTCTTAGGTAATCAGACAAGCATGCAAGGACTTTTCATATACTCAATTCAACAACTATTTACTGAGCCCAGCACTGTGCTAGGTGCTGAAGATATAACAATAAGGGGAGACAAAAAAAATATATACATACATATACACATACATATATATATATATACACATACATATATATATATATATACACATACATATATATATATATACACACATACATATATATATATATATATATATATATATATATACACACACACATACATATATATATGTATATATTGCCCCTGCTTTCATGAAGCCTACATTCTAGCAGGAGGAGGCAGAAAATTGGTAAAAAATATAAAACACGCCAGAATGGTGCTGTAAAATTAGCAGAGTAGGTAAACACTGATGGTTATGGAAGGGATACTAATTTATTTAGAATGATTGGAGAATATTTCTGTGATAAGGCATCATACAAGCAAAATCCTGAATGAAGCATAGAATCAAATTCTGTGAGTATCTGAAGAAAAAGTGATGGAAACAATGGGGGAAGTAAATGCAAAAGTCCTTGGGTAAATTCTTATCATTTTAGTTCTTAAGGGAAAGGCAAAAAGACCTTTGCCTAAAACAGAGAAAGCAAGAGAGTGGGGAGAGATGATGTGAGGTGTAAGGCTTATGACTTCATTATGAGAAGGATGAAGACTTGAATAAGATTTGGCACATTTTAGGACAACTAGTCTAACTGCAAGTGAAAAACGGACTGTAGGTAACCAATGGTGAAGGATGATCATGGTTTGAACTAAAATGGTATCAACGGACATAGTAAGGAGTTGAGAAATAATGAGGAAGTAGTAATTGATTCTGGATATGTTCTGAGAGTAAAACAACATAATTTCCTGAGAGTTTGGATCTAGAGTGCAACAAAAGTAGAGTCAAAAACAATTAACTTTTTGGTTTCAACTACTTGTTGAATGGTAATGCCACTAAATAAGACAAACAACTCTGAAGGATGAAAAATTTGAGAGAAAAATCAGTTTGGATAATTTAGTCAAGAAGATTACTAGAAATCCAAGTGGAACTAAAAATAGGAGAAACAATTGAGGGTAATTAGTATTTACAGGATCACGGGAGCTGTAGAAGTGGATAATCTCAATTAGAGTAAGGTACTGTGTAGATGGAAAAGTGAAATGCTTTCCAGGATTAATCACTGGGAAAGAAGAGTCATCAGAGTTTATAAAGATGAAGGAGAACTAATGAGAGAGAATAAGTAAGAGAAAAACAAAGCAAACCATGGCAAAACACAATGCAAGAAAGCATTTCAAGAAGGAAAGACTGTTCAACCGAAATATTCACAGGTCGAATAAGATAAGGACTGAGAAATAATCACAGGACAGACTGTGAAGGCCACTGGTGACAAAGACATGAGCCATCTGAAAGGACATGGAAGAACGAAAGACAGGTTGGAATAGGAATAGATTTAGGAGTAAGTGAGTGTCCAGGAATATAAGGAAGGTTTAAAATCTGAAAAATAATCAATGTAATTCACTAAGAAAAATGAGAAACATCATACTCATCTCAAATACTGCAGAAAAGATGTTTGATAAAATCCTGTTTATAATAAAGAAAACTCTTAGAAAAATAGAAATAGATAATTCCTTAATTTAACTAAAAAATCTACAAAAACTAATTATTAAAAATATCATACTTAGTGGCTAATTATTAACAGCATTGCCCATGAGATCAGGAATAAGACAGGGATGGCCACTATCACAACTTTTATTCAACACTGTACTGGCAGTCTTTAGGTGGCATAACAAGGCAAGGAAAAAAATAAAAAAATAAATATTAGAAAGGAAAAAACAAAACTATCATTCTCCGATGTTATTATTGTCTACAAAATTTTTTTTGAAAAAATCTACAAATGACTAGATTTAATAGAGGAATAGAAAGATTGGTATATAAAAGTTCAACATAAATATCAATTATAATTCTATGTACCAGTAACAAATTAAAAATCAAAACTTTTAATTGCTTCTTGGCCTTTTGGGTAAGATCAAGTGCAAAGAATTAAAATTTTAAGGGCATCAAATAATATCAAATATCTGCAAATAAATCCATCAAAAAGACAGAAACTGTTCTATACAGAAAACTACAGAAGAAAATCTAAATTAATAAAAGAATATACCAAGTATATGACTTGAAAGATTCAATATAGGAAAGATGTCAATATAATACAATAAAAATCCTCATGTTTTTTGGTGGAAGTTGATAAGCTGACATATATGGAAATGCAAAGACTCAGAAATGGCCAAGGCAATCGTCAAGAACAACAGTAAAGCTAGATGACATACTCTTAAATATCAGGCTGCACTAAAAAGCTATACAAATTAAAATACTGTTGGAATATTACTTAGCAATAAAAAGGAATGAAAAAAATATGCTATAACATGGATGCACACTGAAAACATTATGCTAAGCAAAATGGACCAAATACAAAAAGACAAATATTGTATGATCCCACTTACATGAAATATTTAGAATAAGCAATTCATAAAGCCAAAAAGTGAATTATGGATTGACTAGGGGTGGGAATCATGAAGAGATATAGGGAAAATTGGTAAAGGAAATGAATAACAAAGAAGATAAAATATTCATTTTCCATAATTATATATGAAAATGTCTAATCTTATTCAAAATCTAGGAAAAGTGCAAATTAAAACCACAATGAAATAATATTTTGCATCCACTAAATTGACATTATAATATGAAATATTAACATACATTTTTATTTGAAGGCTTTTACAAATATTTCTAATTATAAGCTAAGTTTTAAGTAAAAGAATGTTTAATTTAGGATTTTCTGATACATTCTCAAGTAAACAAATGAAAGCACATTTAAAGGGGTAAGTCCTCACAGAAATCCTGTCACACACAGTAATCTTACAAAGGCATTTCATATGTTATAAAATTCATGTTAAATGTAGCTTATCATACATCTTCTAAACAATTCTTAATACTCTAGATACAGAAAAAGAGTATTCTCTTATTTTAAAAAATAAACCAAAGAGCCTTAAGTTCTTAATAATGTTATGGAAAAAATCATCTCAATAAAGAAATGCTACCAATGATCAATCTTAACAATCTACCACTCTTCAATGCTTAATCCTTAAGGAAAGGTCAGCACTAGTTTCAAAGACATATTTTTTATATATATAACATATATAGGTATAAAGACATGTAATATATAAAATATAGCATATTTTAGAACTTGACTCTTTTTGTGACTAAATAATATTCAATTGCATGTATATACTACATTTTGTTTGTCCATTAATCAACTGATAACATTTCAAATGTAAAACAATTGGAGGTAAAATTAAAACTGCTTCAAAGTATCTTCTCAATTTTTTTCCAGAGGAAATGTATGTTTATCCCTTAGTTGAGATCTCACTTCTATTACTTTTCAAATAGTCTCATTTTCAGAGCAGCTGAATATTATAGAGTTAACTAACTGATAAGAGGTTTGAGAGTGCTAATAAAGGGCACAGGTATTTGTTATTAAAAAAAACAGCAACATGCTGGCTGGACGCAGTGGCTCACGCCTGTAATCCCAGCACTTTGGGAGGCTGAGGCGGGCGGATCACGAGGTCCGGAGATCGAGACTATCCTGGCTAACACGGTGAAACCCTGTTTCTACTAAAAACACAAAAAAATTAGCTGGGCGTGGTGGCAGGCGCCTGTAGTCCCAGCTACTCGGGAGGCTGAGGCAGGAGAATGGCGTGAACCCGGAAGGCGGAGGTTGCATGCAGTGAGCCGAGATCGCGCCACTGCACTCCAGCCCAGGCGACAGCGAGACTCTGTCTCAAAAAAATAAATAAATAAATAAAAAATAAAAAATAAAAAAACGCTTATTCATGAAATCTCACTAATTTTAAAGGAAATCACATGATACAACTAAACTCTTGTGAGATCATAATCAGAAATTCAGCACTCATAAAAGCACAGCTGTGACTAAAGCAAAAGAGGTCATAAAACAACATAAATGACACAAAATAGGAAAATGTAAACCCATCTAATTTTTATTGTTTATACTATGTATAGATGAGAAAAACTACTTTAAATAGTCATATATATTAAGAGTAGGGAAAAAGAGCACAAAATAATGTTTCTATTACTACAAAATAAAAATTTTGACCGCATAATTAAAAAATAACACAAAACCTAACAGGTAAATCCATGTATACTAAATATAAAGATTTTTATCTTAATAAAAAAGACTTTCAAGAAACAGTCTAAGGCCAGGCGCAGTGGTTCATGCTTGTAATCCCAGCACTTTGGGAGGCCGAGGTGGGCAGATCACTTGAGATCAGGAGTTCAAGACCAGCCTGGCCAACGTGGGGAAAACCCTGTTTCTACTAAAAATACAAAACTTTAGCTAGGCATGGTGGTACGCACCTGTGATCCCAGATACTAGGGAGGCTTAGGCAGGAGAATTGCTTGATTGAACTCGGGAGGTGGGGGTTGCAGTGAGCCAAGATCGCACCACTGCACTCTAGTGTGGGAGACAGAGTGAGACACTGTCTCAAAAAAAATAAAAAATAAAAAAAAAGTCTAAGTGAAAAGATAGCAAAGAAACAACTACAGTACTCACTTCTTATCCGGAGGCGATGCTTCCAAGACCCCTAGTGGATGATATATACGATTTTCAGTCTGAGAACTGAGATAGCTACTAAATGACTAATAGGAAGACAGTGTATACTGCATGAAAAAGCTGAGCAAAAGGAGGATTCATGTCCGGACTTGATGAAGAGGGACAGTACGAGATTTCATCACTCTACTCAGAACAGCACACAATTTAAAAGTTATAAATTGTTTATTCCATTTAATATTTTTGAACTGCAGTTGTCCATGGGTAAGTGACACCTTAGAAAGAGAGAGTAGAAATAAAGGGGCACTACTATAGAAAAACTTAAGAGAAATGATACTTATTGCTTGAATAGATATAGATGAAATTTTTTTCTTTAGTTTTTTAATTCAAAATTTAATTATGCTTCCAATACCCAGTTAATTCCATGTCTACACTTAAATCTAAGGTGTTTGTGAATTAGCAAATAGTATAATCTCTACACAGTCAATGGAAAGTGAAATTATAGAAAAAATATAATTAGTGATTGTCAGCTGTCCAACTGTGAGGCTACACAATAAAACCATCAACACATCACCTACCTTTTCAAGTAATTAGCCAATAACTAAAAAGCCTTTTCCACCCAGCACCTGTTCTTGCATGGCTACTGAACTTTTAAGTAGTTCAACCAGGAATGCCGAAAGAGTAGCACTGCATGTAAAGTACAGATATCATTATGTAATCATCACGTTTATTCTAAACACAGTGTTCCAATTTCAGTATTTTATTATGCCAAGAGATAACCATATTCAAATCTAATCTCTATTTTATTGACAATGACTATTATGCCTTATATTATGAAAGAATATATTTCCTGATAAGCATGAGAAAACTATTGTCCTTTACAAATTAAATATAATAAACTGAATCATAACTGTGTAGTTTTTTTACATTCCAAAGTAAAACATCAAAGTTTATCTCTACATATATTTATAGGTCTGGCTTCAAGTAAACCTAAGAAACATACACACATCATTTTCCATAATAAAGACTGTATCATACTATTATTTTGAATAACAAGCTATTGTAGAGAATTTTAAATATAGATGCAATATTGCTTTGTAAGAACAAGCCCTATTTTTAAATAAACTTTTCATTTAGAACTATTCTTCAAAAACACTTTGTTAAAAAAAATCCAGAGGAATATGTAACATGTCACTTATGTCCAGGTATGCCCTAAGAAAAGCTCATGAGAGCAAAGAAATGATTTATGTAATATTGAAATGAAAAGTGACAATTACACAGTATATAAACAAATACATAAAGGCAGACAGAGGCGTCAAAGATTTAGCACTTGGTATGTCTTTGGAATGAATGAAGAAACAAAATAGAAAATGACTGCATTGAATTAAGCTTTGATAATATATTACTTCATAGTTACATATAATGATTTTAACCAGCAACACTGATATATGAATATAGTATTCTGAATAATGGAAATACATATTCCTTCACTGTATATGCTTAATGTAGCTCATAATAAATTGTTATATACCAGATTTTATCAACAATTAAAAGAATATCAATTTACAATGTTTTATAATATACCCTAAATTACCTATTTATATTCATAAGAAAGGGTAAAACCACAAATTTCTAAACATATTTTAAATGCAGAAGTACTCATTCTTACAAGTAATTCAGACAATTTGGTAATAAGGAAAACTTGAAAATTATTAAAGCCCGAAAGGAATCTGAAGTTATTCTAATTTTTGAATTATTCTAGCTCTTCCAGTTTCAATAGGGATAATGTATTTTTCTCATAATGTGGCTACTTTTGTTCAAATCAGAAATGTTCTCATAACAAGAACCAACAGCAAAATTATCATTGTCATTATTATAAAAATTGATAGTTTAATGAATTACATATCAGCTAGACAAAATATAGTATCCAGAAATAAAGCACTTCATTATAGGAAATTAAAATTCAATTATATTAACTGACCCTATATCCTTAAACCACAAAAAATGTAAACTATCACATATCAATGATTTTTTTTACTTTGTCCTTAAGCCAAAGATAGACACTTACAAGAAAACTACAACTACCAATGAGTCTCTTGGGATTTTAAAAAACGTTTCTGTAAAGAAGCACAGCTATTAAGCAATCTAGTCCATTTTAAATGAATTGAATAGTCAAGGCCACTTCACAAATAATTGCTAAGTACTATATTACACATAACACATCTGCCTAGATGTGTAAAAAGAATAAAGAAAACCATGCATAGAGATTACACAATTTCCTAATCTGTTCATAGAATTCTTACATACACCAAAGTTAGTGATTGAGGGAAAATGGATTCCTAAACATGAGCACTGCCAAAAAGACAGACTAGAAATGCCTCACAGTGGTCCTTATGATCCATGAAAAAAGGCAAAAAAGTATTTTACAGTAAATCACCCTACTATATAGAACCATATACAATTGCAAGGATGACACAGATTTTCTCATTCTTTTATGTCAGAATAACTACTCATTCTCAAATATCTAATGAGTTAACTCAGACCTCTAAACACAGTGGAGCTCTATTATAAAAACTGAAATATTAATATTATTATTCCAAAATCTTAACAAGACTCTGCTATCCATGAAGTATTAATTTCACTTCAACATTAACTAGGACACCAATTGAAATGTCAAATGCATTCACTAACAAAGGTAGTTTCAATTTATACCTAAAACCCAATGCAATAGCAATACCACATCTTTGCAAAAAAAAAAAAAATCTTTACAATAAGGTATAATTGACATGGTGGACGTAATAGTAAATAGATGGCCATCTTTGAAGAGGTACATTTTCAAACATAATTCAACAAACTTACCAGTAACTAAAATGCATCGGATTGTTGCAAGGCTCACAATAAACTTGCAAAATTCTGTGTACTGCCATACAAAATTTCTCTCCATTCTTGCCTATTTCCAACTTCCCTAGATACAAAGGCAAATATAAAAGATACTTCAGCCCATTCCTATATCTCCTACATACAACTTCCTCTCTAGAACGCATCAGTTCATCTGCAGAGGATCTAAATATATACTCTAGGATAAACCAAAAAGCAAGTATCGTTGTCAGCCAAAACTAATACAACATAGAACACTCTCTTGAAAACTATATCAATACCTAGGAAAAGATTTTCAGAGGAGTATTTTATTTTATAGACCAAAAGTATGCTGATTATTATGTCATGATATATAATTGCTCAACTTTTCAACAGACAGTACTATAACACATGTTCTATAAGTAGCAATTCTACTTCAGGAATGGATGAGAGTTTGTAATCCTGTATCTTTTTAAGGAAAATGATGCTAATAATCTAGTGGGTGTTTTTTCTTAAAAATAATTACCATCTTGTAATTCTTAATAAGCTTAATTTAAGTTAGAAAATAATGTTTATTTCAAGTATCAGATCGTAAAGGGTTAGACCATGGGAAAAAAATGAAAGAAATAGCATAATAATACCTCTTATAAATTAGCATATTTATTATTTCTCCAGAGCTTTTTGGCCTTTATTGATAAAGAATGCCACAACAGTCTTGGCCCACAAATACCTGAGAATATTTATTAACTATGTATAAAAACATAACTAACCTGTTTATAATATACATATATTTATATGCCATTAAAATTTAAATATAGATTTTGACTTATTTTACTATAACTTTATCCATTTCAATTTGTATTTAATTTTTTAAAATAACTAATGTAGATAACTCATGTAATGTGATCCATGAAGTTTTATTATTTTTGAGGTACTTTTATTATTTAGAATTCAATATATCATAAAGATACACCTAATTCATAACTAAAATGATTAAGAGTGAATATATAAACCTAAGTTCTGTTCAAAGGTAGCTCTCTGAAGACATAAACTGGCTATTCAATTTGGTTTTTACTGAAAAAGCAAAGTACCACAGCTAGATTGGCTTTTTAAATAAAGATCTTTTTATTAAGAAGACTGGAAATAACTTACGTAAAAAGTAAAGATTCCCCCCCTAAAATCCAATACCTCCTCCACTTTTAAAAGAATGTTGCAAAGTAATCAAGTAGATTAAGTTTCAAATCGGATTTACGGTTATCAGTAAGGGGGAAAAAATCTTTTGACATTTTCAAAAGGTTTCATCTCTTAAGCCTAATTTAGGACTGAATTACAGTGAAATATTTTAAAAGATGATTAAAATTACGTAAAATATTTAATATCATAGTTTCTATAGTATTTCTCTCACTACAAAACTCTTCCTAAATAAGAGTGATCATAGCAGAAATTGACTTCACTGTACATTAATCAATTCAATTCCACACCCAAAACAATTTTGCATCCAAGATAATTTTCAGTGACACAAAAAAACTCACAGTAAGTTCTAAGAGTTAATTTCCTTCACAGTTCAACATTAGAAAGGGCTAAACCATATGCTACAATAGACCTCATGTGATATTTCCAACATGTGGGTTATCTTAGAGTTGGTCTATGATGATTTTCTCTTCCCTTGAGAATAAGTCACATTTTCCTGACCATTTTTAGAATAAGTACTTTTGGATTATATGCTAAATAGTGTGACTATTACTCTGTACAATACTGTAGAGAAACTTTCTGGCCAGAAAGTTTCCTATAAAAGCAAAAAATGGGGATATCAGTCCATGCAGACTGACTGTTCCATATTTTGACTACCCTCGCCTGCTTTTATTCAATCTTCACAATCCTCAGATAGATGTTATCTATATTATGTGCAGAGTTTACAAATGGTTATTTTTGAGAAGATCAGTTTGTTAGGAGCTCACCCCTCTATACAAGTATCAGAAATCCTCTGAAGTGATCTTTAATTTTGGAGGTTGTGTTATACTTTTTCTCTTATCAGTTAGAACTTCTTTATGATATAGCAAATTATAAAAACTATTATACTATCATATTCATAAATGAAGGAGAGAACTCAAAGCTAAATTTTCAAATATCTGGCCATGAAGACTAACTGCTTGCCACACGGGATTAACAGAACAATGAGAAAATGTCTAGTAATAATTATAAAATATAAAAACTTTGTTAAAATCTGATTTGCAAGCTTATGTCAAAGGGCCACCTCATACACAATCTTGAAGACATTAAATAACCCCAAATAGCCACTGTAAACTTACCTGGCAGTAAATTTTACTATACTAGACAAATCTACAGTGAGATTTTCTGTTATTTTAAATATTTTCTGTATTTCTGTATTTTCCAAAATGAACGGTTTATTTAGTTAATAAGTGATACCCTAACTTATTTACTGTTTCCAGAAAATAACCAAGTACAGAATATATACTGATAAGCTGCAATGCTCAAAACCAAATATCAACAGAAAAAAATTTACCTAGCACTACAGTGACCAACAGGTCAAAATCATTTGTGACAGGCTCCATTGAATATATAGTTTGATGGCATTATTTGAAGGTAGAATTAACTTATTTTATTAATTTTGAAGCCCATATGTTGACATGCTATCTACACTAAGCTCAGAATCATAAATATTGTCTGACCATTACAATGAAAGTTCCATATAACTGAAGGCAATAAATATAAATACTGTTATTATACAACACTAAGTAATTTAAACTCCATTTTGTGATTTATCCAAATGTCCATTAGTTAATTATATTCTCTACACCTTAAAAGTTCCGCTGTAGCCCTCTACCCCGCTTCACTCACAGAGAGTGACTTTAGCAAGATAATTTTGACTATGTGTGAACTACTCAGCTTTTCTTCTGTCAAAACACAATCTGATCATTTGCATTCCTCCTTCTCTATGTTCTCTGAATTTCTAAAAAAAAAAAAAAAGGTTTTTAATATAAAAAATTTTTGCTGATGCCTGTCATGGTGCAATTGTACTTATACTATTTACAAATTGAGGAAATGCATGTACCTTTGGCTTTATCAACCCCCACTAACAACAAGGGGTGCAGTGAGCTGAGAACTTTCAAAACTTAAAAAAATACTCTCTGATGTAATGCCCAAATTTACAGGTATCTCTCTTAAAAGTTCTGACTTTAGGTACTCTACACTGTGTGTTAGGATATTAAGGATACACTACGTCACATGAGCTGTGCACGTATGATGACCGGGGTTACTGCTCATTATCACTGTTGTTAAAAAGAATGACGAGAAAGACGTGTGAAAAGAATACTACAAACTACAGAGATTGCAAAGCTGTTCAGGACAAAGTTTGCTTCTCTGTGAATAGAAGAATTACAAAATTGCTTATATTCAGCCCTTTTCCTTGATGTTGCCAGGAAGCTCCCATCAATTCTGAGATTTCACATTAGCAATCATATTGGATTTGTATCTTCTTGATACTCTACCTTTTTATATTTCATTTGTTTGCTTGTCACTCTATTTAATATCATTCTATTAGAGCTTAAAAAGATACTGCAAGCATTTTATGAAACAACTCAAAGAAGTAGAAAAGAAAAGCAGGCAGCATATTAATAAAAAATGTGAATTACAAAAATATTCCTATGCAAGATCAGCAATGGCAGAACCAGGATGCAAACTCGACAAAAAGACCCATGAAAGAAAAAGTAGCTGGACAAGCACAAATTCATTTCTAGAGCTAGTAGGACAAAAACAAAAATGATATGGAAAATATATGATAGCAAGTATTGTTACCTTGACATAAAAATAATAGCATTATTATCCTTCAATATTATCATGGTTATTAAAGTCACTGAGAAAAAAAGATCTTTTAATATGGGTAAATTCAAACTTTCCTCTCTCGCTCTCTCTATATATATATCCGTGTGTGTGTGTGTGTGTGTGTGTGTATATATATATATATATATGACAAAAATAAAAACAGAAATACCAATGCAAAAATACAGAGGCCAAAGAGGGAATTTTTTTATGTTTTTCCTTTCCATTACACAATCTTCACATTAATTAAATTGAGTTCAATAAAAAAACCACACTTCCGTACAAGACAAGTACTCCTTCAGAATTATAAACACTTTGACTATAATGTGTAATTCTCTTTCAGCTCTAAGTAGTTTGAGACTTCACAATTCCCAGTGTGATTTAAACAGAACCCTAATATGTTCCCCTAGCCAGGTGTACCGCACATTTAAAACTAACTCATATATGTGCATGCTATATCTTACCTAGTCTTTGTTCTTAAAGTTTAAAAAACAGAAAGAATGATAAATTACATTAATTAGTTTTGCTAAATTAGTTTACTCACTACTGTACCTACTTCCTCACTGCAATTAAAGCAAAAATATAAACTAAAATTAAATAATTTCAGGCCCATGAAATATATTATCTTAGATTCCTTCTAAATCTTTAACTCTTCTTTCCAAGTTACCAGTAATATTAACAAGTTCTTTATTATGTTCATTATGTAATATATATTTCAAATTTTTGTATTTTAAATACTACATTAAGCAAAACAGTTTTATAAGATTATTTCAGAATTGTTAAAAGGCATGCTATCAATATTAGAAAATATTCTGAAGAATAAAAAAGTTTATAAAAAAAGTTGAGAAAAAAGCACCTTTGAACCGAAAAGAAACATATAATAAAAACTGACTACATTCCAAAAAATAGAAATGACTCTTAAACTGTATTAAAGAAAGATTTTCACTAAAAGTTATATTACATCACATTTTACATCTAAAACGCTCTCTAGAATTTATAAAATTACAGTTATTACTACCTTATATCTAGGTCCTAACTGATGAATTGCAAATATCTGTGCTGGGTTGAGTGCTTCACTGAATGGCAACAGGTTTAGCACAGAATACGCTATTTGCATCAGCAGTTTCTGATGAACCACGAAAGCACTTGTCATAGCTCTATTTTTAAAAGTCATTAAAAATGCATTATTTTTAATGATGAAAAGGTTTAAATCCTTAAATCGGCCTTTAGGAATATTTTAAAATATAACAATAATAATAGAAGAAAGCATCAATTAAGACTTTATTATTTAAATAATAAATGCCAGTCAAGTTTTTTGGGAAAAATGACCAATTACATGTTTTACACTTACATTTAAGCAAACAAAACAATAGCCACCTACTCAGTCTTCCGACTTACTTTTCAAATATTATAGTTAAAGGCAAAAGAGCTTATATTTATTTATTTACAAACGTTAAAATAATTTAAAACTGTCATGATGTATAATGATCCATATATAGAGAGATTGATCTGAATCAAGGGAATGACTATTCCAAAATGTAATCATGAAAACATAGGGTCTAATTTTTTAAATTCAACTTTATTTTTGAAATTATGAATCTATTCCTCTATTCCTCCATATTTAGTAAAACACACAAAGAAAATAAATCCCCGCTCGTGTGTGAGTAGGAACTACACAGAACGAAACACACAATAAGACTATAATCTGCTGCTTAAAGCAGATGGTACAGTGCTCTCCACATTGAGGAATTCAGCACTGAAGAAGCCAAAAGCTTAAGATCTTTCCAGCCTCTACATCTTACACCCCACCCACCCAAACCAGGGAAAGCAGTCATGGCTCAGTTCCCTTCCCCTATCCTCAAAGGCTATTTCACACCTTAGAATGAATAAGCAAGAATCATATATGTAAGAAGTACTTTTGGTCCTTCAATAAAGTAACAAAAAGAATTGTGAATGCATACAAAGGCAAAAAGAACTGTCGTCATTAAATACCCAATCTTTAATTAGAAGTATAGGAACTTAAACTTTAACTGCATAAAGTATGTGTCATTATCTAGAATTCTCCACTTCTTAGGGCACTATTACAAATAACCAAAAAACGAAGTCTTTTCTTTCCAAGATACTGTCTTCTCATTGAATGAGTCAAGACGACCACTGGGATTTCTTCCACTCTATAATAAAAAGACTCTGCAGAGATCTCCTCTGGAGAGAAGATAAAAAGCAGAATTTCATCTGTCTATTCTAATTCTGAAAACAACATTCTATTAAATATTAATTGGTTGTGGCACAACCATGAGTTTCTACGGCAGGGAAAAGCAACTTTTTCTATAAAGGGACAGACAGAAAATATTTTAAACTTTGCTTGCCACACCTGGTTTCTGTCCCATTCTTCTTTGATTTTGTTTGTGTCTCAAGAAACAAACAAACAAAAAACCTTTAAAAATTAAAAGCCAAGATTCTTAGGCCCCAGCTTACACAAAACCAGAAACAGGGGGAGGGTCAGATTTGGCTCATAGGGTGTAGTCTGCCAAGCCCCGATCTAGGGGACAAACTGTGGACCATACACACAGTGCTAGTTAAACGAATACAAGACACGATAAGCAAATCCCTGCCCTTTGGGAAATTAAAGCCTAGAGAGAGATGCAAACAAAACTGAGAAATGAATTGTGTTTAAGAGGTAAGTTCTTATAAAACCAGGTATGCTTGAAGGGTTGTATATTATTGAGCTTGGAAGTACTTTCAGCATTAAAACAAACCTTTTACTTTGACTCTGACAGGCCAGAATGTAGACAATGGAAAGCCCCAAGTAGAGAAACCGTAAGGACCCTTGAGGTTTTAATTCAAGTTGTTCTCTACCTAGAATCCAACTGTGTCACTTCTTCCACTGCTAACATACTGGTAGAAACTCATATAATCTCTTTATTTTATTGCAATAAGCCATTTAAGTGATCTTCCTGCTTCTGTAATTTCCCTTCAAAATATTCTCAATACTGCAGGCAGACTGATGTTTTTAAAATATAAGCACACATCACTTGTCTGCTGAAAACCTTCCAAGGATTTTTAAGCTGAGTAAGATGCGAAAGCCCAGGCCTTACGTTTGCTTATGAAGGCCAAAATGATTTCTGCCTAACCTCATCTCTTATTATTCTGCCTCTACCTCCCTCTGCTCCAGACAAACTGCCTTTTCCTTGAACTTTCCTATTCCGCCTCAAAGCCTTTGCACTCACTGTTCCCACTGAATAGAAGAAGTTCCCCACATACCTCGCTTGCTCAACTCTTCCTACTAAAATCATCTCTGGACCATCCGGCTCCTCCCTTCCCTACAACTACACTTTCTGTATCCCCAATTTATTTTCTCCATAGCATTTATCACGATGTAATTAATAATAGTGACTATATGTTATCCTTCTGTTTAGGGTCTTCTTTCTGTATCTAAATAAGGGGTAAACCACATTTTTTAGTGCTTGATGCTGGAATAAATAGAATACAGGATTCACGGTTTTTTTAATCTAAAAAACTTAAAACTTTGGCCAAATGTTCCTGTTTTTGTATCACTAATCATGTCTTTTAACAATTTTCTTATACTAAATTTAACAATGAAAGATTCGTTTAATAAAAAAAAACTTTCAAAGTTTTAAGTTTCTACCAAACTATTTTATTATTCAATTCATATTGTAATGATAGCTCATACTCTCAAATTAAACCACAGACAGAAAAATAGACTTACATCATTTGTGTTAACATGCCAAGCCATATCACCATAAGATACCAGTTGTCCATTAACGTAACACTGAATTTCATTGTTCCTCCATCGATTGTAAATGTGGACAATGCTGATCATGTACCACTTACATAAAAAATTATATCAATATGTAATGTTTGGTTATTACGGTCTAAAATGCAATTATAACATTCATAAAACCCTAGAAGAATATGCTGACAGAACTATTAATGATCATCTAATACCACTTCCTCAAGCTCCCCCTCCCATCCCTCATTTCACAGATGGTAGAAGCGGCACATAAAGAATATTCATGGAGAAGACAAGAACTACAGCCCCTTGACCTCCAGAGTGATATTCTTTCCACTATACCAAGATTCAAAATTGTGGAAATACAATTTATTTATGTTCATTCATTTAAAATTTACATTGTGCCAGGCACTGCAGATACCCAAGGCTGACTAGTTCTCCTAGAAATTATGAGCTATAAAAGAAATACATATGACACAATTAAACAAGTGTAGAATTATAAATCATGGTGATTACAGGGAGGAGAAAGAAAACAAAAACAGGAGAAGAAACAAGAATACAAACATGAAATAGAAGCAGTAGCAAAAGAAAATGAAGAGGAACAAGAAAATGAGAAGAAAACACACAGCGGAAGAAAGGAAAAAGAACAGGTATGGGAATTAGAAGGCCTATAATACCTCTTATCCCCTTCTCGATTCATAAAATTTGAGTAACTCAAAGACTATCACAACAAAAAACAAGCAAAAGGATACACAAATAGTCATCCCCTAAATTTTGTTAAGAATGAGACAATGCTGCCACTCACGCCTAGCTCAGGCACCAGCAGGAGGGCACCCTCCAGAGATTGCAGGAGAAAGGGGGAGAACTCTTCTTTGCCCTAGGTATATCACCACCACTGCCACCGAAGCCTGTGTTACAGCACCCACAGGTTCCTCCCCACCCCAGAGTGGGATGGGCCCTGCAGTGCTCCTATTCCCCCTTCCCGGCCCCCAGACTTCCTACTGCTACCACCACTAGCGCCAATGCCAATACAACCACTGTCGCCCTCAATGTACCAGCCCACCCTACCAGCTCCTACCACCTGGCCCCCGTGGGTGCCCTCCTCCCGCTCCGGTCGATCTGTGGTCTCCATCGCCACCACCAACCGCATGAGGCAAGCTGCAGAACCACGTCATCTGCAGGCTCGACCCTACCACAGGCGACTCCTCGCCTTCTCCTCCTTCAGCCTGGCTTGGAGTAGCTGGGCAGGCAAAGCCAGAAAAGCCCAAATCAGGATTCAGACAGTGGAACCGTTAGAGCCTCACCTTGTCACGCTGGTGACTGGGTGGCAGGCATCAGTTTCATTGAAGGCACTCACATCCACCTTCCAAAGTCCAGCCTCTCCTTCTGGCAAAAGCTGGCCAGGAACTGGGGTCTGGGGTGGGAGTGAATGCCTTCACTGAAACCGGCCCCTGGCCAACTCCAGCTGACCAGGAATTGCTGGGCCCACCAGGGCTGCCCTCCTCAGGGAGCCCGAGTAGGAGAAACTCAGAACCAGCCAGCCCTCCCCACCCAAGGGCTGGTTCCCATTCCTGACGCCTCCACCCACAGTGCCCTGTCCCCTGCTTCCCCCGTGGGTGCCTATTACTCCCTGCCTGGTAGTCCCAGGTGGTCTCCGCAACACAGAGCATGAGGGCGTGCCGGGAAACCACAGTGGGTGTGGGAGCCCTGCCGTGCAATCTAGCACGAGCAGGAGAAGATCGCCTTCTAGAGTCTGGAGTCCGGGAATAGAAGAACGATCCCTTACCTGGAGACCACCAGAAGGAAAGAGGCGGCCACTACTGTCGCTGCCGCTGCCGCCACCTCAGCTCGCCAACACCGCTGGCAGTGTAGCCCCCACAGCACCCCTAATCTGACCCCTGCCACTAGCAGTGTAGCCCCCGGATAGCACATCCAACACACCCTAGTTTCAGGCAATGTAACCCCAATACCTCCCCCAAAGCACTCCCCCCACACTGCAGGGAGTGTACCACCCAACAGTGCCCCAAATCTGACCCAGCCACGGGAGTTGCTGCACTAGATACCATCCCAAACCCACCTCCTCCCACCCCGCCACGGACAGTTCAGCTCTTGATGGCGCACCACCCCGAGTCAGCACCCAACAACGCCCCAGGCAGTGCAGCATCCAACAACGTCCCTAAACCACCCCCGACTGCCAGCATTGTAGCCCTGGATAACTCCACCCAACCCACCCCCTGCCGCTGGCAGTGCAGCAGAAGATAGCGCCCCTAATCCTTCCCCAGCCACCGGCAGTATACGCTAGTGTACACAATCTGCTTTCCCCGACCACCCCTGCCACCGCAGGCAGTATAGCCCCAGATAGCCAGCCAACCTGCCCCACCACCAGCAATGCCACCCCGGAGAGTGCCCCCAACCAGACCACTGCCACAGGCAGGGTAGCCTCTAGCAGTGAGCCCCAGTAGGACACCCAACCCTTGCCCCCAGAGGCGTGCAGGGCAGCCCCGGGAAACTCACCTACCCCATCACATTTCTACCACTGTGACCGAGCTGCAGTCTCCGACGTCACCACCAACCACAGCGAGGCGAACCAACCAGAGCCAGGCCAGCCACGGTGGCACAGGTTCCAGCCTCCAGCATGTGGCAGTGCCTCTTCCTTCTCCTAGTCCTCCAGCCCAGCAGGAGAAGCTCCCGCTGCCGGGCGCTCTCCTACTGCTCTGTCGCCACCACCAACCACAGCGAAACAGTGTCCCACGCTCCAGGGCTCCAGACTCCATCCATCCTCCAGCTTCAAGCAGGAGAAAGGTTGCGGCCTCTTCCAGTTCTCTAAGCCGGTCACGGGGTAGCTCTTCCTCTAGACACAGAAGAGCTTGAAATGACCTGATACGACCTCAGCATGCTTTATATACCGAGGTTATGCAAATGCGTTTCCTGGACTACATGTTCTGATTGGATGAGAGAAAAAACCTCTAGGCCTACTCTGATTGGACTTTGTTTTCATGCTGTGATTGGTTGTGTTAAGACTTACTCTCAACCAATCAGAACATGATAATAAAGTCCAATCAGAGTAAGCCTGGAGGTTTTTTCTCATCCAATCAAAACATGCAGTCCAGGAACCTCCGTGGGCATAACCGCAGTATATAAATGATGCTGAAGACAGGTCAGGTTTATTCAGGTTCCTGTATTTTCCTGTCGAGTTGCTAGCTGCCCGTCGTAGAGGACTAAAAAAAATTAATGAAAATTGCTAAATCAATGACGCTTTCAGAAGTTCCCTGTTTTTGACATCAGAGTCATATTATAATGCTCTATTTTCTGTTTCCTCACCTAAATAGAATTTTGCTTGAGGTAATTTTTTATCTGAACTTCTGTTTGTAGAAACCAGGGACATTTATTGAATTGTTTCTGGCTGGCTATTTGATCTTAACAAAGCATTTAAATGATACTGATGCCCTGGCTTGAGCAACGGAGCATCCCAGACTTTCAGTTAGTTGCACATAGCACACATACAACTCATTTGAGTTACAGCTAAATGCAATTACAGGCCTCAGAGCTAATATATAGATCACTTCTTATTTAAGGCAATTCACCTTTGAATTGGTTAACCTTTAATTGTTGATAAAATAATAAGATGGGAAACAAAGTTGCTACCCAATATGTTAGTTTCCCCAAATAAACACTTATTTAAAGGTTCATTTGTTAATCAAGTATCTGGAAGTTGAAATACATTTTTATGAAAGGAAATAAATTTTAGGTGATGATTAGGTTTTTATCAAGAGCTGAAGTTTTTAATAACGAACAGGGAGAGATACTATGGCAAAACAGTAATTGAATAAAACATAAATTCAATAAAATGATATGAAAAATCAATGACATTTATCCTGAGTCAAATATAAAGAGAATTAAATTGAGGATGATAAAATGTTTCTAATCATTGTTCCACCAGTATTTGACCTTGAGCAAACTGCCTGGGGGCCATATTTGGTAGACAGATGAGGATGTACACTTTCTTTTAAATACTTGAGAATTAGCTTAAGTGCTATCATTTGATAACTTGCTCGGTATTTCATAAATGCCAGGAAATTAACTCAAATCCTTTGATGAGCTGCATTTTCTGTATTCAATTTGTGTAAGTTCAACAAATATTTATTGAGGGTCTTCCATATGCTGGGTATGTGTCTTCGCAAAATAAAGTACATTATGAAAGATGTGATGCTCAATAGTATATCATCAGTGAATTGCAAATTAAAATCTAAATGAGATATCACTATATATCCACTGGATTGTCTAATATTTTAAAGTTGTCAGTATTAAATATTGGGAAAAATGTGGAGCAGCTGGAACACTCATACATTGCCAGTGGGAGATTAAAATGGTGCAGCACTTTGTAAAGCTAAACATATATTTACCATACTACCCAATAATACCACTAAGTATTTACCAAGAGAAAACAATTGTCTACACAAAGACTTGTACATGAATGTTCACCGTAGCCTTATTCATCATAGCTAAAAACTGGAAACAACTCAAAAACAGAAAAGTAAATTGATGAGCAAATTGTGGTATATCAATTTAATGGGATACCATCCAACAATGAAATAAATAATGAACGATAACACTGATTGACATCAATAATCTCAAAATCATTATCCTATGTTAATGAAGCCAGACACAAATAAGTATTTTGTATATTATTTTATTTGCATAAAAATTTATAACAGGAAAATCTAATCTATAATGGCAAAAAGTAGATTCATGGTTGTCTGAGCTAAGGGGTAGAGGAAGATTGATGGACTGCAAAATGCAAAAGGGAACTCCTTGAGGGTGATGGAAATAGTCTATATCCTGATTAGCAAGGTGGTTACATGCATGTATACCTTTCTCAAAACTCATAGAACATACACTTAAAATGTGCAGTGCTGGCTGGGTGCAGTGATATGGCTCATACCAATAATGAACAGGGAGAGATACTATGGCAAAACAGTAATTGAATAAAACATAAATTCAATAAAATGATATGAAAAATCAATGTTTGACATTTATCCTGAGTCAAATATAAAGAGAATTAAATTGAGGATGATAAAATGTTTCTAATTATTGTTCCACCAGTATGTGACCTTGAGCAAACTGCCTGGGGGCCATATTTGGTAGACAGATGAGGATGTACACAGTGGTATGGCTCATACCACTGCACCCAGCCAGCACTGCACAATAAATGTCAAACATTGATTTTTCATATCATTTTATTGAATTTATGTTTTATTCAATTACTGTTTTGCCATAGTATCTCTCCCTGTTCGTTATTAAAAACTTCAGCTCTTGATAAAAACCTAATCATCACCTAAAATTTATTTCCTTTCATAAAAATGTATTTCAACTTCCAGATACTTGATTAACAAATGAACCTTTAAATAAGTGTTTATTTGGGGAAACTAACATATTGGGTAGCAACTTTGTTTCCCATCTTATTATTTTATGAACAATTAAAGGTTAACCAATTCAAAGGTGAATTGCCTTAAATAAGAAGTGATCTATATATTAGCTCTGAGGCCTGTAATTGCATTTAGCTGTAACTCAAATGAGTTGTATGTGTGCTGTGTGCAACTAACTGAAAGTCTGGGATGCTCCGTTGCTCAAGCCAGGGCATCAGTATCATTTAAATGCTTTGTTACGATCAAATAGCCAGCCAGAAACAATTCAATAAATGTCCCTGGTTTCTACAAACAGAAGTTGAGATAAAAAATTGCCTGAAGCAAAATTCTGTTTAGGTGAGGAAACAGGAAATAGAGCATTATAATATGACTCTGATGTCAAAAACAGGGAACTTCTGAAAGCGTCATTGATTTAGCAATTTTCATTAATTCTTTTAACCAAAAAAACTGCTCTTTTGTAGTCCTTTTTAAAAGAGAAAAAAAGGGAAAAATGCCTTACTTAGCCCTTGGCACACATTTTATTATTCATTTCTAACATGGCATGTCACATTGACAACTCGTTTTAAGTTTGAATTTTTCTTACTAAGTAATCATTTTGTATATGCTATTTTTTCATTGAATTACAGTGTATGAGAAGCAGTCTCTCAAATCACCACATAGAATATGTGACAATCAGTTTAGTTTGTAGTCAATGTTCATTATTCCTCTATGTTTCTTTATTTTGGTAGTTTAGTCATAGTTCTTAACAACTGCCTTGAAATTTAGAGATAAAAATAATGTCTAATTTTAGTATCTTTAGTCACAAAAATAGCTGTGGAACAAACTATAGACTAGGAAGACAGAAGGATGAGTCTTCAGATATCCTATTTCATATTAGTTGAAGAAGATTTCTTAAAACATTCCTGTTTCTCCCTACATTTATTCAGGAATTGGTTGAGGGAAAAGGAGAGTAGAGAGAAATTCAACAGATACTTAATTTCTGGTTGGTGCTTTGCCTATATATTACCGTGCTGTTGCATTACTGACACTTATCACAGTGTGGGTTGCTAGTTATTAAATGTAATGGAATAACCTGATTTATTGTTTATAACACGCATAATTTAGAAATGTTGAAGATAAAGCTCTTCAGTTTAAATTGATAAATTATCCAAGATTATATATTAATATGTGCTTGATTAAGTCGGTGAACTCAGATTTGGGCAATTCTGAGGTTCATGCTCTGTCCAATACCATAGTAAAAATTTACAAAATATTTCATGAAAGGAGACATGTGACAATTGGGAAAGCCACAAGAATTTATGAGTTAATACTTATGAAGACCTCTGAAAATCCATAAGTATAATAGATTTTTATTTAGTATGTGTTTTTCAGAAGAAATAATTTTCAGGTATTTGCTTAGTTTTTGAATAGTTAAAATTAGGCTCTTAAAATTTATTTGGAACCTGGACAACATAGTGAGATTTTGTCCTTACTTAAAAAAAAAAATTATCTGGGTGTGGTGGTGTGTATCTGTGATCTCAGCTGCCTGGGAGGCTGAGATGGGAGGAGAGTTTGAGCCCAGGAGGTCAATGCTGCAGTGAGCTGTGTTTGCACTACTGCTTACCACCTCTGATGACACAGACCTTGTCTCAATTTTTTTTTTTAAATTTGGCTTAAGTCAGTCACCTTTTATATTTAATTATAATGCAAAGTCAGTGATGTTTTGATATTTTAGATTACATATCATGGAAGATTAAAATCATCACATTATTTTGAATTTTTTTCTACTAGTTGGTGAAAAAGATATTTTTTTATGCATGCTCTAAATCTAAAATATGTATAATCAAGTCATAATCCTTAATTTACAGAAACTTGAGTATTTTATTTGGGGTATATACTATTATTTTAATATCTAGAATGGGAAACTCATTGTGGCAGAAACTCAAACAAGAGCTTCCTCTAAATTTGATCTTCCTCTTTCTCCGAACGTGTTACTATGCTTTCTAAGCATTATGAGGTTCCAGAGAAGAGATTTTCACTTTAGTTTGTATCAAATTCATGAGTGAATAAATTCTACAGTGTGCTTAAAACACTCTGAGAAGTAGGTTAGGGAAAAACTCTATAATCCTCTTATGGGTTTTTTTTAATGTGTTAATAAAATAATAATATGCCATCTACTTAAAATCCTTTTTGCAACAAGGTGCAGGGATAAATAAATAGTCCAAGTAACATGATATTTTCAATTTTAGGCAAAAGCTCTGACAAGACTTTGATCCTTCTTCAAGGCCTGGTAGGTCTGAAATAATCTTATCCGCACATGAAAAACATTCAAAGCATTTAAAGGACCTGGCTATAATTGCACAGTTCATGGTGGCAACTCATAGAATAAAGTTCAACTAATTCATTCCTTAGTCACATGTCATCCATTAGTTTAGCAATCTTGGATTCCTTAAGATTAAAGTATAATGAATAGTCTCTCTTCATTTGACTAACAAAGGGGACTAATGCCTTCCGCAAAACAGAACTTTTTCTTTCCCTTTCATGATACTGTATTTATGTGTTCTCATAACAAATCTTTCCTCTTTCAGTCGCTCAGAACAGATAAAGATAAATGAAGAATAATCTATCGATATTAGCATAATTCTGTGAAGAACTATAGCAATGTCTTGTTTACAAAAGCCAATTATACAAATGTTATGCATAATGCACTCAGGAATTCATTTAAACCAGGGGTTTTGAGTTACATGTTATAAGTACTAGACAACAGCTGTTTCCCTGGTGTATGATGGAGCCAACACCAGTCAGAGGTATATTATTACATCTGATTATCAGTCAGGATAAGGTAGGCAATTCTCTGGTAACAAACCATCCTCAAATCTCAGTGCTTATATAGGCACTATTTCTTGCTCCACTAGATGGTTCATACTTGCTCACACTACCCATCATGGGTCGTTAGGAGATCTCTGCTTATGGTCACTCAGGAATTCATCTGACAAAGGAGCCACCACCTTGAATATCATGGGTCACTGTGCTGGAAGCAAAAGAGAGAAATGTGGTGGGTTTACCATCAACATTTAAGTACTCTGGCCCAGAAGTGGATTGTCACTTCTACTCATCACTTACGGGTGACAAGTGCTAGAACTGGTCACCTAACCCCACCACAAGGGGACCAGCATGTACAATCTTACCATATGGATGTAAGGAGACAGAACAGGAAATATCTGTGAAACAGTGGTATTGTCAAAACCAATGTGTAAGATTAACTTCTGCTTAAACAAGTATATGTATTATTGCAGCAGTGCTGGTCAAAAATAACTGCTGGATGGAGTAGTAGGTTACAGAAATTATGTAGACTGGGTACAACTTGCTGCAAGTAAGAGATGAGCTGCATAGTGCTAAATAAAGATGGCATACTTTCTGGAACATATGAGAAATTTGTCCTTTTAAGTATAAAGAAATGAGGTCAAGACAATAATCATTTTCACTGAAGCAGTTAGTTACATGGAGCTGATGAGTTGTTATGGATGCTTTTCAGACACTCTGGGACAGAATTTTACGGTGGAAGTATGCACTGTAATGATTCAGGACTTGACTGGCGATATTTTGGGTATCTTAACCTCCTCCTTAAATAGGCTACCAAAAATTTGAAACCAAAAGGGCTGAGAATCACTGCTTTAAAAAGTGAGTTATGATTGGAGGGAATAGGGTCCATCCTCTAATAAACAGTAAAGAAATCAGAAGTCCTGGCTGGACGCAGCGGCTCACACCTATAATCCCAGCACTTTGTAAGGCCCAGGTGGATGGATGGCTTGAGCCCAGGAGTTCGAGACTAGATTCGGCAACCTGGCAAAACCCTGTCTCTACACAAAATACAAAAATTAACCAGGTTGGGTGGCGCACCTGTGGTCCCAGCTACTTGGAGGCCGAAATGAGAGGATCACTTGAGCTCCAGAGGTCAAGGCTGCAGTGAGCCAAGATGGCGCCAGTGCACTCCAGCATGGGCTGCAGAAAGAGACGCTGTCTCAAAATAATTAAATAAATAAATAAAATAAATAAATAAGTCCTGTTGTCAAGAAGTCAGTAGACAATTTTTCCTAACACAATGATCTTAAGGACTTTATTTTTCCCATTTTTATTTCATTTTATTTACACCAAATTTCTTACTGGGTTTTCAATGCAGCTTAATGCAATATGCAATGATTTTATGTTTTTATCCACTGAGATTTGTGGATGGTTTGTTACCAGAGTATTGCCTACCCTATCTCAAAAAAATAAATAAATAGCTATATAAGAGTTTATATAAGCAATTTACTTATTGCTTATATAAGAACACTTATAAAAGCATTGAGGCTGGAGTGCAGTGGCATGACCATGGCTCACTGCAGCCTCGACCTCTCAGGCTCAAGCGACCCTCCCACCTCAGCCTCCTGTGTAGCTGGGACTACAGCTTACCATGCCAAGCTAATTTTTAAATTTTCTGTAGCGACAGGTTTCACTATGTTATCAGGGCTGGTCTCAAATCCCTGGGGTCAAGTGATCCTCCTGTCTTGGCCTCCCAAAGTACTGGGATTACAGGCATGAACCACCGCACCTGGTTTGATCTTAAACACAACTTTTCTTGAAAAAAAGTTACCATGACAAGTGCTAATTTTTTTCTCCTACTATTTGTTTTGAAAAATTTTAAACTTACAGGTTAAAATAATAGTACAATAAATATCTATATATCTTTTTACTTAGAGTCACCATTTGTTTACATTTTTCCATATTTTCCTCTATTTTAGTCTGTCTACAAACATATACATAAACATACTAAATGTATATGTATACACGTATGTGTGTATATACATTCATATACTCACACATACACATCAATATTACTTTTCTTTTGTGAGGCTATTAGAGAATAAATTTAGACACAGCATTTTTGTCCTAAATACTTCAGTATGTATCTTATAAGTACATGGATATTCTTCCACATAAGCGTGACATAATTATCACACTCAAAATTTAACAACAATAAAATTAAATATTTAATGTACAGCTCATTTAAAAATTGTCCTTGTGGTCCAAGTAATAACCTTCATAGCCACCTGCCCTTCCCCCATCCTTAATCCAATCATGAATGAAGCCTTCTGTTTAGTTACAGCCGAGACTGCTGTGGGAACCTAGATCTGCTTCTTTCATAGGGAATAACCTCAGGCAGCCAGGACCTGCTCTGCCTGTGGGGCTCACAGATTGCATGAAGTGCAAGGATGAGCTGAAAGTGTGGCTCTGAAGCAGCAACTGATGGGACAACTCTGAGGTCATCTACTTACCCTCGAGGGACTGAGGCAGCTCTCTCTGTGAGATTGCTGATATGCAACTGGGCTTGGCCTCTTTATTCTTCTTGGACCGACTTGACTTCTCACTTTCCTGTTTCTCCTGGGAACACTCGTAAGGAATGGCTCAGTGAATTTCCTTCTCAAGGTCGGCTTTGGGGATATATATTTACATATATGTATACATGTAACAAAACAAAGACCATTCCTTTTACAGATTATTCTCAATTTGGATTTTTCTGATTGTTTCATCATGATTAGATTTAGACAAAATATTGTTGACAAGAATACTACATACTACATAAGTGATGTGTCTTCCTAATACAGGTTTTTGAAATTTTAAATTCTGATAACTGCTTTTCTTCCAAGAAATGCCATTATCTTTTGGCCAGCACTCAAATGAAATACAGACATTCTTTTAAAATCGAATGTATTCTATTTTATTATGTTTTGCATTTCCCCTCTTGAGTTTCTCCTAGTTTACTAACCTCTCTACAGAGTAATAAAACTATATTATATTTTTATTCATAAGAAAAAGAAAAAAAACCTCATGCAACTGAAATTGCCTTAAATTATTCATCTCTCACACTATTCTTACTTTGATGTTTAATATTATTATTTTATCTGCTTAATCCCATAACATATATTCTGACATAAATCTGCAAATTGTTGAAAACAATTTACTTAACATTTCAACTACTTAAAATTTTATTTTATTTCAGACACCTAGAAAAATAGTTCTAAATTCTACAAAACCAAGAAAAAAAAAAAAGGGGGGGATTTTTCTTGGACTCTGTTCGAAGTTTCAAGCCTACCATCAGATCTGTCCCAGACATAACTTCTCAGAAAGCTCTAATGGGATTTTGCCCTGTATAGTTTCACTGAAACAAAAAAGTGACAGCTGCTTCCCCTTCCTTCCCTTCCTCTTCCCTCTCCCCCACCCTCCTCCTCCTTCTCCTCTTCCTTCTTCTTCTTCCTTCTTGCACATGTCTGATCTCTTTTTCCTGGCCTCTAATTTAGCAGCCAGTGATTGGGTGATGAATGACTAATCTGAGGGTCGGAGCTTCTTTCCTGAAGCTTCCTGAAAAAAATCCCCCAGTAATTATAGGTTGCAAAAAACCTCTTCTACTTATTTAGCCATTTGCTCTTTTAGGTTCTTTTCATTTATTTCAAATTAAATGATACTTTCTTTTCTCCCAAAATTCAAACTGGAGTTTCTTTGACTTCCTTCAGGTGCTGCTACATTAATTCAATGCATGTTGCATTTTTAATGAATAATTTTAGGTAGTGAATTTCAAGTTCTGTATCAATTTCATTAATTCTACTTAAGTTGGGTTCCCACCGTAATGAACTTTTAAACATGTGTATTATTGTTTGGCCAAAAGCACCAAATGGGTGTTCAGCTTACATTCTAATGACTTCCCTTCCTTCCTTCCTCGCTCCCTCTCTCCCTCTTTTCCTTCCTTCTTTCCTTCCTTCCTCCTTTCCAGCATCAGCTTTAGCAAGGAGCCCTAGCAGAAGACACCAGAAGGTTTCCAGCTGACTTGTCTCTTTTGTTCCTAAACCACTACTAACAGCAATATTAGTCATCACTTCCCCCACTGCCCACTGTGCTATTTAAATCTCCCTCTTTGGGTATATTTTTTCCTAAGTTTCCTTTTTCACTCCATAGTCAGGGATGTGGGGGAAACACTCCAGGCAACACCTCCCACACACGGCCACATAAATATTTATTAGCTTTTTATTTGTATCAATCTGTTCTGTACAACCTGTACAGCTTTTCATTGCTGACATCCTTTTTATTATTTCAAATAATAGTTTAGTATGAGAGTTAAAAGAAACATATCTTTGTTCTTGTTCTGAATCATAGAAAATTTAAACCGTCACAGGCCAGTGAGAATGTATGATTCCCTTTTGAAACATTTAAGAGGCATAATTTTGACAGTCTTTGTTTAACAAAGACTTTGCTTTGTTTTGACAGTCTTTGCTCAGTAACTCTTATATGACTGGAAATTTTCTAAAGCTACCTTAGATCAGTTGATAGGCTATGTTTTCTCTTTCAATCTGTATGAATTCAATAAATGTTTTAATGAGAGTTTTCTAAGCACCAGATGCTGTATCAGGTACTAGGGATGACTATGAAATGACTCAGCTCCCAACAACTTTATAATAGGGCTTAAGCAGTGTCATAACTAATACAATCCTAATAAAAGCATGCTGTGTGTTCAGACCTAAAAGCTTGCTGTGTGTGTGCATTTAGGTAAACAGTTTCATCTCTCTGGACCCTAGCTCCTCTCTGTAAAATGAAGGAGTTGAATTCAATGATATATTCTATTATATAACACCATAAAAACACTTTACCATATGGTGTGCTGGTCCTGGACCTGTTTGCACTCAGATCCATCCTTCTGCTCTGCCTTGTTCTGGGGTGAAGAAGTTGATCCTCGGCAGGGTGACTTTTTCAGGCTCTAGAGAATTTCTGAAAGGACTGAGTCAACGGGCAGCAGGAATATATCAACCATGGAAAATTAGAGAGCAGGGTGAGGAGCGGTTTTTGGGGGAGGGAGCTATCAAGACACTCCCTCCTGTTTTCAGCCTAAGGTGGCCTCTCCAGTGGCTTTATCTTCTCTGTGACTCCAGCCCCCATTGTATCAAGGCCACCAGAGATCCAGTCTCCCAGAGTGGTCCTCTTGGTGCCAGTAATTCCATGTTTTCCTTTTGTCTCTCCAGCCCAAGAATGATAAAGACTTCCTGCTATCGTCAATCTCCCAGGATTATTTTAGAGCCCTCTGTTTAATTCTCAGCCTCTCCACTCTTCATGGACCCACCACTGCTTTCCATTCCTTCTGCTGTGAACATTTGAGATGATTTCTGCTTTCTTGGTTAATCTATGGCTAACCACAGTGTTCACCTCTACTTTATTTTATAATTGAGGAAGGAAAATATGAGCATAGATACATTAAAGGAGCAGACCCAAACTAGCTCCTTGTATCCAAACAAAATGAAAGAAGGTTGTATCCAAACCTTCTTTTGATGCTGGTATCTATTTTTTGGTACTTAGATACCAGCATCAAAGGAAGGTTTGTTTTATGCTTATTCTCATGGCCCAATAATGAGATGCAGATGAACTGGATAGAAGGGAGTTTATTTATATAACTAGGTACAGAGAGAAGGCTGGGAAATATTGCCAGACCAACTCAAAATTATAAAGTTTTCCAGAGCTTATACACCTTCTAAGCTATATGTCTATGTGTAAGTATGTAAGTGTGCATTCATCTAAAGACATAAGTAATAAACTTTTTTTTTTTTTTTCTTGAGACGGAGTTTTGCTCTTGTTGCCCAGGCTGGAGTGCAATGGTGCGATCTCGGCTCACTGCAACCTCTGCCTCCTGGGTTCAAGTGATTCTCTTGCCTCAGCCTTCCAAGTAGCTGGGATTACAGGTGTGCACCACCATGCCAGGCTAATTTTGTATTTTTAGTAGAGATGGGGTTTCTCCATGTTGGTCAGGCTGGTCTCAAACTCCCGACCTCAGGTGATCCACCTGCCTCGGCCTTCCAAAGTGTTGGGATTATAGGTGTGAGCCACCCCATCCGGCCAAGTAATCAACTTCTAACCTATAACTAAAATCTGAGTACTGAAGACCTTCCTCTGGAGCCTTAGTAAATTTTCTTAATCTAAATGGGTCCAGGTGCCAGGGTGATTACCCTTATCTTGTCTCCTGCTAAATCATGGAGGTTCCTTTAGTCCCCAGTAAAGCTTGTTTGTGGAGGTCTAGGGAGTTCCTTTAGACCCCCAATAAAACTTGTTTAATCCTAAATGGGTCCTGTTAGGAATTCCTTTGTTATCTTGTCATACTTCAAGGCCCAGGGAAGACCTAGGCAAAACTCTTGGTGGGTTTTGTTACATTCCAGCCTTTGTATGAGGACATTGGCCCCATCAGTTTTTAATATTTATCTTAACCACTCAGTCAGTGCTGAAACAGTTGTCATGGAGGCCTGCTTATTCAGCTGTTAGTGAGACCTGGCCTGCCACACTTTCAGTCAACTATTGAAGGACACACAAGATTCTCTTTTATTATTATTATTATTATTATTATTATTATTATTATTATTATTAAAGCTGCCATGTTGAATCTCTTGAAAGTTAAGGCCCATGTAAATCGAGGTGGGGGAAACCTTTAGTGAACTACATCACTCTGTGTGCTTCCTGGTTCTTAGGACAGATGACTTTATTACAGCCTCTGAATCTATCAAATGTGTCCATTTTTCACCAGGAATGTTAATTAAAAATAAAATTATAGTGATAAATGTATTAGCAACCTAAAGTTTGGTAAGAGAAAGATATGTAAAAAACCTCTTTTTTAAAGACGAGGCTTAGGCATCCTGCTTCTTCTCCAACTCTTTTATCTCCATTTCCTTTAGGTTGGTAAGATACTTTCTTTATTTCTAGCAATTTCACCAGAGAGGTCAACAATCAAACTTACGGTGGTTTTACTTTAAAATGATAGGTAGGCAAACTTGTGGAGATACTCTTTTATTTAATTTATTCATTAAAAAAAGAGGTGGGATGAAAATCCACCCATTCCCACTACCCCTTACTTTGGGTATGGGTGCGAGAGAGGAGAAGTTCATGGTGATTGGGTGACAAGGAAAGTGATAGTACCATTGCTGATACAGGGAGAGTCCCAGAGAGAGAAACTAGCTGGAGGTTAGAGTATTACTTTCCTGTGGTAGGTGGCTTAAAACAGACATTTAGTGGATAAAACAACACACATTTATTTACTCACAGTTCCAGAGGCCAGAGTCTGAAATCAACATCACTGGCTTAAAATCAAGGTGACAGCAGGGCTGTCTCCCCTCTGGAGGTTCCGGGGGAGAATCTGTTCCTGACCTCTTCCGGGTGTCTGGTGGCTGCCAGCATTCCTTGCCTTGTGACCACATCGCTTCAATCTCTGCTTCTATGGTCACACTGATTTTTTCCTGTTCTTTGATGAAGTTTCCTTCTCAATCCCTCTTATAAAGAGACTTGAAATTGCATTTAGGGCCCACCTGGATAATCCCCAGGAAAATCTCCCTGTCTCAAGATTCTTAGTCACATCTGCATAGTCCCTTTTGCTATGTAAAGTAACATTCACAGGTTCCAGGGCTTAGAATGGGGACATCTTTGGAGGCCTTTATTCAGCCTACTACAGTCAGATAAAGCACACAGAAAAGCTGGTGTGGGTTTTATTTGTATGTTGTCTCTGAGTGTTTTCAAGGTTAAGATCTTTCAAGGACTAAAGAATATTGGTTAATTCCTAACATCCTGAGCTATACAATTAGTGTAGAAAGAATACGCCCTTTTGGGGTGGATGAGTCAAAATACTCACACTTTATTAAAACCATTATAGTGAATTTTACTGTTTGTTCTGTGGATGTTACAGAAAAAGGCATATTCTCTGTATAGTGTAAAGCTTAGTCATGCCTATTAAAGATATTTTGTCATTCCGGAAATTCTGTTTTATCTCCTAGATGTATGTTACAGTTATGTTAAAGTTTTATGTAAAGTTTCCTTTCCTTCCTAACAGTTTTTATTTTATGTATTTCCTCAGTGTATGGATTGTTTGTGATGCTTATGTTTGCACTGTGCATTGTAACTTTTACAGGTGTATAATAATCATTTTATCCATTTCATATTTTTTGCCATGATACATGATGCTGTGTCTGATTCTAATATTTCTACCTGTCTATTCCTCTAAATTTTCTATGTTCCTTTTGACCAGGGAAACTTTTGAATCCCTTTATTTTCAACATTTCTTTGTCAATTCGTTTATACATGTGCTTCTTATAATTAGTAAATTTAGATTTTTACCTTTTGATATAAGCTGATTTTATTTGCCTTTTTTTGTTATCTTTTAAGCCATTTATATTCACTATGCCAAGTCAGGTATAGTCTTATTTTGCCATTTTATTTTATTCTTTGTGGTTTATACTTACTGTTTTCTTCTTCCCTATACATTATATGTCATTGTAGCTCCTCTTTCTTCCTATTATTTTTTCTACAAATTTTATTCTATATTCCCATTTGTAGAATGCACATTTTTGTTCTACAGTTATATATATATTCACATATGCACATTATATGTATATAAAAATATACATATACACAGAGATTAGCATATATATGTAATTTTCAACCAATTATAAGAATGGAAGACTATTACTGGTTCTCCTATATAAGAGACTTATCACACTTTTACTTTCCTCTTCTCTACTCCTGCTCAACATGTATTAATTAATTAGTTTTTTAGGTCAAATTCCTGGTATTAAAAATATTATTTTTTATTTTATTTTCTTTCCCAAGAAATATATTTGATACAAGAATTATGTAACATATTGATGTTAAAAACTAGTAATTATTTATTAATGTGAATTTTAATGGATGCAGTACACATAATCAATTTTTAATATCATATTACCTCTTGAGATGTAACAGTTTTATTTATTCTTTTAGTCAGCTGTGGTATTTTCTCAAGTATCAAAGAATTATTTCCCCCATGAATGGTAAATGGATACTTGCATTTTCTGATTTCCTCTCACTTGACTAAAAGTTTGGTTGCCTGCAGAATTTTTTAATCTGAATTCGCTGATGGATACCTGGGTTGCTTCTACTTTTTAACTATTCTGAATAATGCTGCTGTGACAGTCATTTAAAAATATAAAAAAAATTAAGCATTTTTTTGGGGACTGAGATATGCTTAAGATAAATTAACCATCATAGGAGAACATAAAACATAAATATCTAAGGGTGAACTAGAACCCAAAGGCCTAGTCTGGGTCATAGGATATTATGGAATGAAAGAATAACCCATACTGATGAAAATGTCACTTACCAAGATGATGATCTTACAGTGTAGGAACAGCAATTGTTTAGCTACAAAATGTGTGGTAATCATGACTTGCAGAAATAAGACTGGTAAAGTCTCCCAGAAACTTTCAGGATTCCTAAAACCAGTCCTTTGTCCAAAAGTCATCTTCATAGTAGTGGCCATATCCTGAATGAAGTTACTCAGTTCTTAAGAGCATACTGTCTAGGTCTGAAGAAGAATACGGAGAGTGAAGGCAGATTCATGGACCAAGGAAGATATTCACAAATAGAACATACAATGGGGGATGAAATGATTTTAAGGAGAAATGACAATGACAATGACAGTGGTATGTAGTATGTAGGGGGGCCATTGCTTTCAATCTTGGAAGATGAGTTCAAGTTTTGATTGCATCAAAATGGAGTCACACTGAAGTTCTCAGGTAGAATTAGCCATACATCCTTTGCTTCTGGGTTTCTGAGATATTGGTGACAAAACTGAAACTAAGAACAGATCTATTGTCAACTATGATTGTCTTGCCTCCTTTTTTTCTCTGATCTTGTTTACTGCCTGAGTTTCCCTTCACATTTTACCACCACAACTAAGCAGGGACCTTATTTATTAAGGGTACATTCTTGCATATTTCTGCTTTAACATAGCATTAGTTAGTTCAGTATCGTATGAGTGAATTTGGGGGAGAAGTAACCAGTGTCTGTATCTGCTACAGACAATGAGAAGATTGTCTTACTGCAATATTTTAGGCATCTGCCTTGACTTCGAATGAACGTTCCTGTCCATACCCTAAAGGAGAAAAGAGTTGCACTCATATTATTAAATATCCTCTAGATTTTAGCGAATATATGGACTACTTTTTTTAAGCAAATCTGTAAGGGCAGTTGTCATTGTGGAGAACTGTGGGTTTAGTTAGTCTCCCTTAATAATACAAATGGAGAAAATTTAGTTGAGAACATTGTTGAATTTTTAGTGGTCCAGCGATATCTCTTTGTGGAGAGAGCATTTGCTTTATTAAATCTCCATTAGATAAACTCACATTTTTATAGGAGTGTTAAGAGAAAATCTCTCCAAGTGTTTAAGCCTGGGAAAATGAGAGAGAGGAAATACAGAACGAGGTCATGTGAACCGTCAATTGTGAATAAGAGGAAAAGTCAGAACCAAAGAAAAGCCCTTAGTGTGCAGAAGAGGTAGAGATTGAAAATGAGCTGTCAAAAAGAAATGCGGGGGATAAGCTAGAATAAAACACCTAAAGAATAAATTTCAAGGAAAAAGAGGAACATTAATAGGGCTAAATTTGATTAAACTTGACTGAGATAAAGGGAGAGAGAAAGGTGGTTTGATTTGGGGATTAGGTTATTAGTGACAATCTTCATAAGCAGGTTTCAAACGACTTGTAGTAGTAGAAACTGGGATGAAGGGAACTGTAGTAATTTAGGAAGGACAGGTAGAGTATCAGTATCTTTGAAAAGTTTGCAGGTGATGAGATCAATGAGAATAAATGATAACTTAATGGGGTGTCACAAAATCACCTTAAGTTGGCTGGTGAAGACTTGGGCAGTTTTTAGGAACAGATTATATTAATATTAAAAATAGGAAAAAAGAGCAAAGAAATATATTAGGACTTCTAGCTACATGGTAAACAATAAACTCTGGTTTTACTAAATATATTTGACACATATTATAGAATTTTCCTTGCAAATGTTGTTACAAATTATATGATATTTCCTCTTTTCCAATTTTCCTCTTACAAGGTAAATTCACCTAATCTTTATTATGATATATTTGTAAGGGGAATTGAATTATAAGCTTTCTCAGGTTAAAATAAGGACAAAACAAAAATTTTCTGATAAAATTTTCTTGCAGTATGCCACCATTTGCCAAAGGAAGTCAGCCATTGTAGCCTTTTCTGTAATCTTAAGTTTTTTGGACAGATATCTATTGTGCAAACTAAAATTTAGTTCTAATTCCATTCATATTAGATATATTTATTTAATACAGTATTCCGCTTAATACAGACTTTATAAATAGAATCACATTTTATTTTTAAATGTCATATCCTAGAGGAATGTTTGTACAAATCATTTAAAAATGAATAGTTTACAAATAACTTAGCTTTAGTCTTTAAGTATTTACATACATTTATTTATGATTTGTCACACATAAAAGGACATTCTTCTTCTTAATTATATCTTGCTGATACTTAATTTTAAAGTTTTTTTTTGTTTTAATTACACAACTGGTGGTGACAATATAACCCTAGATGGCTATGGTATATTTGTTCAGGTGCCTTGAGAAATACCAAAATTTTTGACAATGTTTTTTTTCCTTTGGGTCAGATCTTTTTTATTACAATGAAAGATAAATTTCAGTAAACTAAGAGACAGAGACTCTACACAGAGTTTCAGTTTCCCCTTAGCTCCTATAAAATGGAATGTCATGCTACTGAGATATCTCATGCACTGCTCTTGCCTTCTGTCTGAAGATGGGATTCATGAATTACCTGAATCATCTGGATCCCTAGAATTGGATTAGTGGCTCAGACAACTCCATCTTTTGGGACAGATGATAGAAGGTATCTATTTCCTACAGCTAGGTTTTTGCAGTAAGATTACATAACTCTTATTTGATCTTTCTCATTATTTTTTTCAGGACATAAATTGTGTTCCAATTCTGATATCCAATGATCTTACCTCATTTGGGGTAGGTTAAAGTAGATACTCATTAGGACTCTAAGGAGCATATTTTTCTACTTAGTGCAAACGTCAGAAAGTAAGTAATCATGTTTAAACTGACAAGAGCTTTAACCAGGAAGTTGCCTACATCACAAGATCTCCTTCCTGTGGTAGTGTGCATGGAGTCTTCCACAAAGAGACAGACAGATGCCTGCAATAACCGGCTTAAGAAAAGATAACCATCAATACCACTGGTTGATTTCATCTGCTCCTATGAGAAGGACAGATTGTACATGGTGCTGTCAGATGATCTCAGAACATAAAGAGATTTCCTGAGAGATCGTTATAATATTGGGATAAAACTTTACTGCAAAAATCTCATAGAGTGAATGAATGATAGAGGTAAACAAAAGTTTATTCTATTAAAACTTACATTTTGCAGCTTATTACAACATATGTTATGATTTGAATGTGTCCCCTCCAAAGTTCAATCATTGCCAATATGATGGTATTAAGAAGTGATTAAGATAGGTATTAAGATGGTCTTTAAGAGGTGATTAGGCCTTACAGTCTCTTCCTGGCTAATGGAGTTAAAAAGCCCTTACAAAAGAGGCGTCCCGCAATGCTTGGCTAGTTGCCCTTCCACCTTATGCCATGTGAGGATGCAGCAAGAAGGCCCTCACTAGATCAAATGCCTAGAGCCTTGACCTTGTATTTTCCAGCCACTGAAACTGTGAGAAAGTAATTTTTTTTTCTTTATAAAATAGTCTGTGGTATTTTGTTATAGGAGCACGAATGGACTAAGACAACATGCATGTAATTAACAAATGGGTCTTGGGTATAGGCATGAAGGAGATAGCTTTCCAGTTTGCTAAGAGATGTCTAAACTGGACATCCTTAACAGCTGCCCCTCCACCCATAACCATTGCACCGGTTTCTATATAAAAGGTCAGAACTCTGCCTTTTACTTCGAGAACTTCTTTTCTGGGAAGGTCTAACAGCTTACTATCCAACCCATTATAACTAGCTATAATATTCTGTCAAATTCCTTCAAATTGATTTCTCTGTCTCAGACCACCATAACCCATCACAATTCTGAAAGCTGAAATAGGATGAGCACCCTCTTCTCTACAGATAGCCCTATATGGAACCCTTGGCTTCTGCTGAGATAAGATTTGAGATAGGAGAAAGAGAAAAGCTAGTTTGCCAACCAGAGGGAGGATGATGTGTTCAGTTTGCAAATGGTAAGATTTAGATGTTCTGTAGACAACTAGAAGTATTGGAATCCAGGCTTGGATGAGAGGTTTGGCTTGGTACATCAATTGAGTAGTCATTAGTATAAAAATTACAACTGGGCCGGGCGCGGTGGCTCATGCTTGTAATCCTAGCACTTTGGGAGGCCAAGGCAGGTGGATCACCTGAGGTCAGGAGTTCGAGACCAGCCTGGCCAACATGATGAAACCCCATCTCTACTAAAAATACAAAAAATTAGCTGGGCTTGGTGGTGGGTGCCTGTAATCCCAGCTAATCGGGGGAATGAGGCAGGAGAATTGCTTGAACCCGGGGGGTGGAGGTTGCAGTGAGCTGAGATCGCACCACTTCACTTCAGCCTGGGCAAAAGAGTGAAACACCATCTCAAAAAAAAAAAAAAAAAAAAGACAACTGGAGCTAGAAGGCAGGATTGGTAGGCAAAGGGGAAGTAAGTGGAGAGAGATGGGGATTGAGGACCCAGTCTTGCAGCAAGAAGAGGAAGAGAGTTACTGAAGGAGATGTGAAAGCCAGGTAGAGAGGTAAGAGAAACCTATTACAACGGCCCCATCACAGGGGGCCTTCACAGTCACACAGGCTTCACATTTGGATCTCTAAATGAGATCATGTCTCTATATTTTGTGAATATGTATTAAACGTTTAATTTAGAAGCAATAAATATTTAAAACATACTGAAATGTTGGGACACTGTAAAAGAAATGGGCTGTGTGTAGTGGTCACACCTGTAATCCCAGTGCTTTGGGAGGATGAGGTGGGAGGACTGATTGAGCCCAGGAGTTTGAGACCAGCCTAGGCAACATATTAAGACCCTGCCTTTACAAAAAAAAAAAAAAAGTTGGGTATGGTGGCGCATACCCATAGTCCCAGCTACTTGGGAGGCTGAGATGGGAGGATTGCTGGAGCTCAGGGATTTGAGGCTGCAGTGAGTCATGATCACACCACTGCACTGCAGCCTGAGCAACAGAGCAAGACTCTGCCTCAAAAAATAAATAAATGAATGAAAGAAATGAAAGTTGCTTGGATTCTTACTAACTTGTGATTAGTCTTGGGAGGAAAATTAGAAGACTGTTCCAGGAACAGGCAATTGAGGTTGTCAGAAAAGTGAGATGTTGGCAAGATGTCAAAGAGAATAAGAACTGAGAGAAGACCATGATGTTCAGCAAGGGGGCCACTAGAACTCCATAAGAGAGAGGCCTGGGTATTGTGGTCAGAGGAAGTCAAGGAATTAGTAAATGCTAAAGAAAGTGGGACAGGTCTCAAGCATCCTTTAGAGAAGTTTGGCAATTAGAAGTGTGTGTGTGTGTGTGTGTGTGTGTGTGCGCGCGCACGCCAGTGTTCATTTTTACCTCTCATCTCCTATCTCATCCAATACCTAATATTCTCTAGGGAAATGGAATCCTGGCTGAAAGGCAGGCTTGTCCTTCAGCTGTCACAGTGCCCAAGAAGCGCACAGCAGGGAGTCTTTTTTTTTTTTTTTAAATTTACGCTGTGGTGCTGGGAGCCAGAGACAGAGACAAAAAAAGCTGTCCTGGAGTCTGTTGCATTGTGACTGAATCAAGTTATCTATAAAAGGACTCAAAATAGGAGTCTGGGTTCACAGCTTAAAGGAATGAGGCTAAACAGCAGAAAGGCTCAAGCAACCACTGGTGGAGGGGAACAAGTAAGAACTTGTCTGGAGAAGTCTGGCGCCAAGTATAAATACCCACTGCTGACATTCACACATTCCCAGCTTGCTTGTCCAAGGGCAAGCAGGAGTCATTTACAGCCTGAACCTAATAGGCATCTAATATTGTTATGTGTTGTCATATCTCAACCACCACCATCACCACCACTCCCAGCTAGCACTCACAGAGCACCTGACCTGGGATCAGTGCCTGAATCAGAAACAGAAACTTCTAGACTGATGTGGTTCAGTGGTGCTTACATAGGCTATTGTTTACTACATCTGCACCCACCTTTCAGGAAGCATTTGGCTTGTACATTTAGCTCTGTGGCCCACTGAAGAGAATTTCCTGTGGGCAGTGGGGTGAGGAACCCTGCCTTAATCTGTTTCTCAGGTATTCTTCTCCCCTGCTTTTATGTGTCAGAACCTGTATAATCATTGTAGGGCCTATCCAGGAGTAGGCAGAGCCAGAGTGCCCATTCCTGATGTCCACAAAGTACGGTAATGCACCCAGGCTTGATTTGGAGCCACTCTTGCCTTCCTGACTGTTTTCAAAGATATGTCGCATGGCCTCTGAGCCAGTGCAACAAGCCTTGCAGGCATTGGTATTTGCACAACAAATAGTATTTTTTTTTTTTGGCTTAAATAAGGGAAATAGGGAATATTTATCACAGCTATACATTTATTCATCATTTAATTCCCATTTATTTATTCATTAATTTATTCAAACACTTCTTAAGCATGCACCATGTGTCATGCCCATCTTAGAGGCCACAAAGGTTCTAAAACTATTACTTGTGGACAGAAAAAGAGACCCATATACATGTAGCATTATGTCTTATTGGAATTCAGAGCAGGAAGAGAACACATCTGGCTGGGGGCAGGATGAGGAAGGACCTGATAAATTTTCTATTGAACAATTACTCTAAATAAGTGTGCTTTCTTTAGATGGTAAGGATTAGACCAGGATTCAAGATTACTGGATTTTGAGTCAAAGTTTGAGCTCCTTGGGGGAAAATCTGCATATATGCAGAGTCATGGTGGTAATTACAGTATTAAGCCCCATTTTGGAACACTTTGATCTGATCTGATTCAAAATTTTATTTCCTGAAAGGTTTGCTCATGTCATATTAAGGTACTCTTGTCTTTTTATTTGCAAACTCATTTAAAATCTAAATACTGCTGCTCTCTGCTTTGGACTTGGCTGCTTTTCAATAACAGGAAGGAACAATACTGTTTTCATCAGTTTTGTACATGGGCCACGAGAAGGCAGCATTTTACTTCTTTTAAGATTTAATGCTGGTCTACAAAATGCTGAGCTGTGCCTGGAGGGCTTTGTGGTGTGGAAAATCTTCAGAAATGTTCAGTGAAACCCAGCATCCTCTGATTCATCTTTAAAGAGGAGAAAAAATTATTCTATGTGACTCTATTACCAATCTTTGGGCACAGAACCAAATAATTCGGCCAGGCTCTCAGTCTTCATGGTTGAAAAGTTATCAGGAAATTTAAAATTTAAATTCATAGTTACAGAGCCACTAGTGAAAATTTGCTTTTTAATGAAAAATTTTTTTTTGGTCTACATTTTCACCCTCTGCGGTGGGGGCTCTTTTAAATGCCCCTGTTTAACCATACTGCATCCAGAAATGTATACATATCACAAACCTGTTGGTAATGACACCAAGGCAAGCTCCGTTTCCTTTCCCATCATCGGTGGACCACACCTACACCAGCGCTTCCTTCTGCGCATCCTATGGCACCCGTCTACTTTCTGCTTTGGGAATCCCCACAGAGGCTAGCACAGTGCTGAACTTGTAAAACGTACACAATAAACGTTCTATTTCTTGAACGACATTGGATGATAATGCAATCTCTCTCTTGTAAGAGAGAGGAGAAAGAGAGAGAGAGAAGTGAGAGGAGAGAGAGACAGAAGAGAAAGGTGAGGGGGGAGGGGAGAGAGACACAGAGACAGAGTCAGAGACAGAGAGAGACCAAAAGGGAACAGCTGGCAGCAGCAGGGAGGCAGGCTTGAGGAGTTGGTGTCTGATTTACGTGGGGGCCACAGATTGGTTTGATCAGGTGTGAAGTTTACAGGGCGCTGGGAAGGCTGGTTGCCCCACCCTAATCTTATGCAAATGGGCTTTCCACTTGCTCAGCGCCATCTCGTCTACTCTTTACTGTACACGTGGCTGGCAAAGAGAAGGGAAGATAGAGCTCTCGTTTTGAACATGTAATTCCAGGTAGTATTTTCCTATTGGCACAACTTCACGCATTTGCCTGTGCAGGCTTCCACTTCGCTTGCCTATGTCTGCAACTTCATTTTACAGTCTGCTCTTTGTTAGGAAAACAAATGATTTGAGGGCTGCTTTTAATTAAAAGGTAAAACTTACCAAGGACTCCTGTACCCTCACTATCTGCCTAACTAATTTCTTCTTAACTCCTATATCAACAAAACCCCACGATAATTTTTTTCCTATGAAAAAATATTTTATTTGAAGAAATTAACGTAAGCTGTGTGTGGTGGCTCACACCTGTAATCCCAGTGCTTTGGGAGGTCAAGATGGGAGGACCCCTCGAGGCGAGAAGTTTGAGACCAGCCTGGGCAACATAGGAAGACCCTGTCTCTATAAAAAGTTAGAAAATTAGCCGGGCATGGTAGTGTGCACCTGTAGTCCCAACTCCTTGGGAGGCTGAGATAGGAGGATCATTTTTGGCCCCAGGAGTTTGAGGTTACAGTGAGCTGTGATTGTACCACTGCACTCCAGACTGGGTGACAAAACAAGACCCTGTCTCCAAAAAAAAAAAAAATTAATATAAAATGTGGAACTTTTCGCTAGTGGAGATGAATGAATATACTGTGCAGATTTATGGAAGTATGACATCTAAAAAGACCAGAATAGTTCCTAAGTGAAAAGCGGAAGGATATGCCCTAGAAGAGGGCATAACTGAATGTGTGGGGAAGGTTTTCAAACTTTACTTCTTCTAATGCAAACCTCTGTGACCCCTTACAACCCCTTCCTCTGGATGGGTATCATTCCATATCATTACAGGCAGTACTGAGAGGGAGATTACAAATTGTAAACATTTTCAGAGGTGGGAGGAGAAAAGATGGAAACCATAAAGACACAGCTATATAAAAGGTTAATTGCATATATATTTGGTTATGGTAATTTCTGTATATATGCTTCATATCTTTTACAGTCAGTGTGTTAGTGGCAAATAAATACGTAGAACTTACTTCAAAATATTTTGTTGTTTCTTAAAGTGCCTAATTGTACCATAGTCCAACACGAAGCCCTTTTATAAGAGAGATGGAAGAGCATGCAGAATCTAATCATTAGATTCAATAAGTAAATATGTATTGAGTACTGATGAAGTACCAACTAAACATTATGATTCATTTTGATAAAACAAGCCAGTCACATTAGTAAGAAACAGCTCACTCTGGCTGGAGAACTTGTTCCCTACTTTCACAAGGTTGACTTCTTAATCCGATCAAATGAAAATGTCATGTTCACCAGAAAGGCCATTTCTGATCATCTAATTTATAGACTGAACACCCCTCACCCTGTCATTCTACTTTACAGCACCTTGTTCTGTTCACAATTTATAATTGTATTATCACTTGTTTACTTGATTAATGTCTGTCTCACTCATAGATCGTGAACTCCATGAAAGCAAGAATCAAATCTGTTTTGAAGCACTCCCAGCATTTAGGGAAATACCTGAAGTAGAAGGCATTCAGTAAATACTTGTGGAGTGAATGTATATATTCTTGCTCTATATGTGAAAACACCATTTATTCATACAGTTAAACTATGATGTCAGTATTATGTCAGATTATTATAATGTCATATTCATTAACAACGAGACCCATAGTAAAAACAAAAATGTATTTGACAAACTGTTCATTAGTAGGAAATTGAGTTTAGTATAGATGAAATTTTCAGGTAAGATATTCTTATCTTTTTGAAGATATGACAGCATATTTAAGCTTTGGGCAAGGCAGACTTTTTTTTTTTTTTTGAGACAGATTTTCACTCGTTGCCCAGGCTGGAGGGCAACGGTACGATCTCGGCTTTCCGCAACCTCCGCCTCCCGGGATCAAGCAATTCTTCTGACTCAGCCTCCCGAGTAGCTGGGATTACAGGCATGCGGCACCACGCCCGGCTAATTTTGTATTTTTAGTAGAGATGGGGTTTCTCCATGTTGGTCAGGCTGGTCTCAGACTCCCAATCTCAGGTGATCTGCCCGCCTTGGACTTCCAAAGTACTGGGATGACAGGCGTGAGCCACTGCGCCCGGCCTGGGCTATTTTTGTTTCCCACAGATGTTTACACCAGAATGGCTGTTGCCCGGTTTGATTGCGCCAGTGTCTGACAGCTGTGTGGTGCCTGTATCATAACAGTTGTTAAATAATTTGAATATATAATGTTTAAATATGTAGCTTGTCTTTGATCTTTTGACAACAGAGATAGCTTCATTTACCTAAAGGGGTACTGATTTTAAAAATTAATTCATTTGAATTTAAACACAGCATATGCTAGACAAAACTCTTAGGGAAAGAATATGTATATACGTGCATGTAAACCACACAGACTGAAAGAGAAGCATTCAGTACATAAATTATTAGGCTCAAGTAGGAGGTTACTATAGAGTTAGCTGCTACTTATTTTCAGAATTTGATTTTATATTTTGAATTGGAAGAATGCCGATCTGGGAGTCAAAAACTCTTAATTTTGAGCCATGGGTGCATAACCTTGGGTATTTTAATATTGGGCTTAGTTTACTGGTTTGCAAAAGAGATGAGTGGACAAGATATCTTTAAAGTCTATTCTAGGCATGAATTTTCATGATTCTGCAGTATATGTTCCTTTTAACAAGTGAGACATTACCAGGATAAATATAGGAAAAACTAGTAGTATCCCCTTACCCCCTCACCCTCCTGAGTAACCAATTTAATATGCACAGAACATCCTTCTATCATCCTTTTTGGTACACACAAACATATATAAACAAAAATAAATGTATGTAAGCTTTCTTGCCTGAAAAAAGTAAAATAAAATATACATTATTCAGATGTGTTTCCCTGCTAATAGACATCTGAATGTCTTCAGTTTTTATTTTTGTCACTATAAATAATATTTCAGTAAACACCATTGTAGAAGTATCACTATATGCTGATGCTTTTGTTTTTTTTCTGTCAGATACATTTTTGAAAATAGGATTTTTGGGTCAAAGGTATATGCAGTTTTCATTTTAATAGATAATTGCTAATTTATTTCTAAAATATTTGTGGTGATTTAGAATGGTAACAGTGCCAATTGCCAGCACTGAGTTAATATTTTGTTTTCTATTGCTGCTCACCTGAAGGCTAAAAATGATGCCATTTTAGTTTAATTTGAATTATCTAGATTTTGTTGGAACAAGAAAAAAGAATTCTACTTGCATCTCTTCAAATGATGGGTCTGCATACCGTCTACTATGAATTGGCAATTCGTAGCCTTTGCATATGTCCATTTTAATATGATCAACTTTTAGATATTATATATACTGTAAATATTTTTTCCAGTCTTTAGTTTGTCTTTCTGCTATGGTTTACATAGCGAGATATACTTGTTTTTTATAAAATAGGTGGTTTGTTTTCTGTCGTTCTTAAGTGAGAAGATCTTCACCAAGGGCTTCCTTCTGGAATTTTTATAGGTTTATTTAAAAATATTGGCCGGGCGCAGTAGCTCACGCCTGTAATCCCAACACTTTGGGAGGCCGAGGCGGGCGAATCACGAGGTCAGGAGATTGAGACCGTCCTGGCTAACACGGTGAAAACCCATCTCTACTAAAAATACAAAAAATTAGCCAGGCGTGGTGGCGGGCGCCTGTAGTCCTAGCTTCTCGAGAGGCTGAGGCAGGAGAATGGCGTGAACCCCAGAGATGGAGGTTGCAGTGAGCCGAGATCGTGCCACTGCACTCCAGCCTGGGCAAGAGTGAGACTCTGTCTCAAAAAACAAAACAAAACAAAAATATTTAATTCACCTGAACTTTAAAAAATATATAAATAGTCTAAATTTGTATTTTTACATGGGGTTTTTAATGGAGATGTACTGAATTAAAAGCTCATTTTGTCATATATAAGGCTCTTATGTGTACTTGGATGTAATTCTAGATTCCGTGCTCTATTCTCTAGATTTGCTTATTCATGTGCCAGTGCTATACTATTCTATTTTTTTTAAAGGTTTAAAACATTTATCACTAAAGATACTAGAATGTTCTTTGAAAACCTATTAAGACATTTAACTATTCTTTTATGCTATTCTGATCAAAAGAAAGAATAAAAGTTTAGGAAAGGGAAAAATGCACATTTCTTAAAAAAGTTTATTTCTAGCCCTGAAAGAACAAAATTATTGAACAAAGTCATAAAATACAGCAGTTAATGTCAATGTATAACAATTAAATAATTGAATGGGATTAAATTAAAAATAAAAGACATTATAAAATTTGAAGACAACAGAAAAGACAAACTATAATTTTACTTAATTCCATTTCTATCACAACAAGAAAAAAAAGCCAATGCGTTCCAACCAAAGATGCTGAATTCCAAACATAATTGTTTCTCTTAATAAAGAATAGAAGTGTGCTTGACAGAATTATCATCCATTTCTTTCTGCCTCTGTCTTGGCAGCATTCTAGAGAAGTGAATGGGAAAGACTTCCGTTCTTTCAAGGCCAGGCCAGTGTTTGCTTCTTCTTTCTAACTCCAACCTCGTCTACCACAGCATCTTTGCCAGAGTGTTCAATCAGTGTGTTGACTGAGAAAAAAGAATGTGTGTATATATTTTTTCTTATATACACACACTATCAAAAAACTGATTTCACCAGTTTCAATACCTACTGTGGGAGCAGCAGAGACAGGAAGACAATCTGCTTCTTGTATTACTATGAAGTTCCACTATAAAAAACCCCAAATGAGTATTAATCTGGATTTTAGCTATAATCTATAATATTTTGACACTGACATTTCACTAGATGTGGATCTCAGTATATTTAAAAAGATTTAGACTCAAAAATGGATGCAAATTCTTTAAGCATCTATTTTGTTTTTTTCTAATTTTAGCTACTACCTGATCAGATCTAAAATTATTCTGGCTAGAATACAGTATATACAAACGTATTTAAGTGAGCCCTATAAAGAAATACTCATAGGTAGTTTAAAATTTCTTGTTAAAGGCACAGGCTCATTTACAGTTGGTGGTTACTAGACTCTAAGCAGCTTAACATTTATATGTTAAAGGGAAGAGAATTAGTACTATGTGCCAGGCACTCGACACATGAAGACAGAGTTGTATTAGCCTCGGTGTCTTACGCTTCACAATTACTCATTTACTATTCTAGGTAGGATAAAATGTTCCATGTTTCATAGTTTCCCAGTTTTAACTGTCCCTAAAAGCAGCAGAAGAAAAAAGAAAAAGTCTAAAATATAATAAATAAGTACTATAGTAACACTGTCCTAATAACACAAGAGGACTATTAAAGTAACTTTTAGATTTAAATGGGAATTTTCATTCTAAAGTGATGACAAAAAGGGTAAATATAAAAGGCAATTATTTAAAAAACATGAGGCCAGGTGTAGTGGCTCGTGCCTGTAATTGTAGCACTTTGGGAGGCCAAGGTGGGCAGATTGCCTGAGCTCAGGAGTTGGAGACAAGCCTGGGCAACATGGTGAGACTCTGTCTCTACTAAAAATACAAAAAATTAGCTGGGTGTGGTGGCACGCACCTGTGGTCTCAGCTACTCAGGAGGCTGAGGCATGAGAATTGCTTGAACCCAGGAAGCGGAGGTTGCAGTGAGCTGAGATCATGCCACTGCGCTCCAGCCTAAGTGACAGAGTGAGACTCTGTATCAAAAAAAAAAAAAAATAAAATAAAAAATAAAAAACATGAATCTTGATTCAGATATAATTTTTCTTTCAACAAGTTCTCAATGTTTTAATTTAAAATTAATAAATCACAATTCTGTATTGCTTTTAAGATTTTGTTTAAAAATGACACATCTCAAAATTAACCAAACTATATTTCTGCTAGAGGTTAGTTTATCCATGTAACTTAAGAATAAACCACAGTGTAGCTCCCTTAACCAAAGAGCCAGGTTTTAATGACTGAAGTCAGCTGCCAGCAATGGACATGCAGGTAACTATTGAAGAAGTTGTAGCTACAAATCCCAAACTGCTTCTATCAATGGAAAAGCCCTTTGTTGAGTCACAAGCCTGAAGTGAGGCCTTGGCACATAGTCAGTGAGAATGGTCTTTGACTTAGAAGGGAAGTGCCTCTGAGTGCATGAGGATCACAGTCTTCTCATCTCGTTGGTTTTCTATTTCATTGGTAGCATCTTCTTTATCATAATCCATCCATTTACAAAGAATGTTAAAATTTGGAACTCAGGTGGCACTGCAGCTTTCTGACAGAAATAAACCAGTTTCTGTAATTCAGTAATAGCTGTAGAAGGCCAATATATTCCAGAGAAAAATGAAATCAAGAATTATATTGAAAACAGAGACCATTAAGTGCTCTAAATATGTTTCATTAATTATTTTACTCATTTTTCTGAAAATCTTGCCTTATCAATAAAAAACAGTCACTTCTCTCCTTATAATTGTATCTTATCATAGATATAGTGGGAATAAAATAACGGAAATAAAACCCTGCTAGTTTCCCCAATGTATACTACAACAGCAAAATTATTTTTTATTCATGATTTATACTACTGCAGGATGGCAAGCAGGGGGGAAGTTAATGGGGGAAGGGGATGGTGGGAACAAAATGCCAGAACCAAACCAAATACTTGAACAACCTATTCCAAAGCAAAACAATGAATAAAGGAGAAGGAGAGGAGATGAAAGAAGAGAAGAGAAAGGGAGGGGAGGGGAGAAGGGAGGGCACTCAAATAATTAATGCTACAGGTCTCAGATCTTTCAGAATCTTTAAAAGAAACAAATTATTGCTCTCAACACGCACATTTCATTTTCCTTTCTTGTGTTTTTACATTAATAGTCTCTACCTATTTGAAAACAAAACAAAAGTAACTCAACATCTCAAATGATCTATAAATTCATCAAGAAATACTCTGTCGCTCAAGTTCTCATAGATAATACCACACTGATGATGACCTGGAGCAATGCCGCCGCCTCCAAGTCTCTACAGTTGATTTCCTATCGGCTGCTTCTCTGTAACACTAACATTCTCTTTCATGAGTATAATCTCTTCTCACTATATCAGAGATCACCAAGGTTCACGTCTCTCACTCTGCGCCTGCTAGTCCCAAATATTGTTCTCCTTTAAGTGGAAAAAAGCTAATTTTAAATTCCCGAAAATTCACTGGTTATTATATTATTTGCCATGGGAGGGGGGTATCTGTGAGGTGAAAGAGGATTAATGAAAAACAAAAAGAACAAAAATAAACCTAAAATTGCAACATATACAGAAATTTATTTCCAAATTGAAGGGGGAAAGGAGGGAAGAAGGTAGTGGCACTAACCAAAGTCACAAAGCCCAGGTTGGAACAAGAACAAATCACTTTGGTTCCTAGAGCCAAGCCTGAAGGGGAAACAGGCAGAAGGGAAGACGAAATGGGAAGAAATACACGGTCAATGGGAATCTTTTTCTATCTCAATGATTTAGTTATAAATAGAGATTATTAGTCTTCTCTCTATACATGTAACAAATGCCAAACTTACTACCACAAAATTTCTAAAACTGACTTTTTCACATTTATTAAAAAAGGTAAAAATCAAATACTTTTCTTCCCTTCCTTCAGGTCAAGTTCTGAACTAAAATATTACATGTAACAACAGCTGGTCCTAACTTTTATAAAAAGTGAAACTATATAGAGCTCCTTTGCCAACATAAGGAGCTACATAATTTCTATTACACTTACCTAGGCATGAGAAACTCAAAAGCAACTCAAAAGGAGCAAGTCCAGGAAAAGGAAAGCTATGAAGGAGAGAAAGACTAGCAGATGAAACAAATACTCTGAAAAACTCCAATCTGCCATTCAAGTATTGGAAATACCCCAAAGGGGACAATGAATGGGATCTATTACAACAAAGTCAGCAAAGTAAAATGCAAATCTCACATATGATAAATGGCCCTGATAGGCGGTTTGCTGAAAGACCTAAGGCTAGTGATTCAGTCCACAATTCCTTTTGGACCCTAAAGAAGGGGTTCATATAAAAGTCATACTTTTCTTTTTGCAATTTTCTCTTGGTTGTCTTCAGAGAATAGTCATTTGCTTCTTTCATTCAGGTTATGCAGACCATTTCTTTAAACCCCCAAAAGAGTAATAATTTTCATATACTAAAAGGCTTCTTGTAGAAAATGGAAAAAAGAATATGAGGCCACAGCAGTGATGTTAACGGTTACTCTTCATTGCTTCTTTAGCTGCCATGATCAGTGGTGTCAAGCTAGATAACAGTTTGGCTAGTTTCAGGAAAAGATGCTGTAATAATTCTTTGGCTGAACCCCTTTTTTCCACATCTGTTTCCAAACATCGATTTAAGAAATCCCGAAATATTGGGGAAAGTGTCTCTGGATTCTGAAGTTCTGGGATTCCATTAGTTGCTATTAGGCACAAGGCCCTCAAGGGATTTTCATTGAGGTATGGAGGCTCTCCTTCTACCATCTCAGTAGCCATGATACCCAGAGACCATACATTGACTTTAGGGCCATAAGCCTTCCGTGTAACCACTTCTGGTGCCATCCAGTATGGCGTTCTGACCACGGTACTGCGTTTGCTCTGCTCAGGGGTGATCTGGGCACAGAAACCAAAGTCAGTGAGCTTAACCGATCCTTCCATTCCCAAAAGTACACTGTCACTTTTGATGTCTCTGTGGATCACTTGATTAGCATGTAAAAACTCCAATGCCTGTAAACTCTCTCTGCATACAGCGGCAATCTGTGCTTCATCCATGCAGGTTTCTGTTACCACATCAGTGAGTGACCCCCTAGCAAGGTATTCCACGACCACAAACAATTCATCTCCTACCAGGTAACTGTCCAAGAAGTTAACTATGTTGGGATTTTTTAATTCTTTCATTACCAGAATCTCATTAATGATCAAGTCCTTCTTTGGCTGTTTCTGTAAATTAATTTGTTTGATAGCAACCTTCTGTCCCAGTGCAACGTCAGTAGCAGTGAAAACTGTACCAGAAGCCCCTTGTCCAATTTTTTCATATCTTGTATATTTTTTTCTTAGGGTCACCTATGCTCACAATAGTTCTTAGTTTCTCCATAATCTCTTCATCTGTCATCTTAGTCTTCTTTTTCTGTTTGTCTAAAGACTTGGCACCACCATCAACATTTGAATCACCAACTGGTGCAGGAACAGGGTCAATTACAGACCGTGTGTAAATTGATTTCATATGATCCGGTGGTGGGGCAATAACGGGAGGGGCAGTCTCTTCATCATCGTCCTCCTCCTCTGTCACTACTGCAGGTGCTTCTGTTCCCTCGGCATTCAGTGCTGGTGTTCCAGAAGGGAAGCCATCTTTCTCAGGAGGAGTAAAACTCAGATACTTCTGCTTCACTGTGTTGGAGTCGTAGACATCCAGCACAGCCTGAGGATTCTTCTTTTGCTCTAGTTTGGTGATATTTGAGGTCTGTAGTAATCGAGCCCAGTGTTCTGGCATGCCAGTGAATTCTCCAGTAACAGCATCAAAGCCAACATGGATGGTGTGTTCAAAATCAGATGGAGGAGAAATTTCTGGCCGTTCCTTTTCTTTCTTTTTACTTCCTTTCTCTGTGCCTGAGAATATGGAGATGATTTTATGCCTGGGCTTTTTCTCCTCTGGAACAGAAGGCAAAGGTTTCAAACTGTGATTGGCTGACAAAGGGTCTTTGCCTCCAGTGCTAAAGATGGTCCCGCTCATTCGCACGGGAGGTGCTGGAGGCTTGTCTTCCAGTTCTCCGTTATCACACATGATTCAGAATTATGAAATGGCCCCAGGTGAGGCAAGTTCCCCACCCCAGTGAGGCGCCTTGGTCAGAGCTCCTGGGAGGTTGCGGAGGCGCCTGGTACCAAAACAGAGATATAGACCAATGGAACAGAACAGAGCCCTCAGAAATAATACCACACATCTATAACCATCTGATCTTTGACAAACCTGACAAAAACAAGAAATGAGGAAAGGATTCCCGATTTAATAAATGGTGCTGGGAAAACTGGCTAGCCATATGTAGAAAGCTGAAACTGGACCCCTTCCTTACACCTTATACAAAAATTAATTCAAGATGGATTAAAGACTTACATGTTAGACCTAAAACCATAAAAACCCTAGAAGAAAACCTAGGCAATACCATTCAGGACATAGGCATGGGCAAGGGCTGCATGTCTAAAACACCAAAAGCAATGGCAACAAAAGCCAAAATTGACAAATGGGATCTAATTAAACTAAAGAGCTTCTGCACAGCAAAAGAAACTACCATCAGAGTGAACAGGCAACATACAGAATGAGAAAAATTTTTGCAATCTACTCATCTGACAAAGGGCTAATACCCAGAATCTATAATGAACTCAAACAAATTTACAAGAAAAAAACAACCCCATCAAAAAGTGGGTGAAGGACATGAACAGACACTTCTCAAAAGAAGACATTTATGCAGCCAAAAGACACATGAAAAAATGCTCATCATCACTGGCCATCAGAGAAATGCAAATCAAAACCGCAATGAGATACCATCTCACACCAGTTAGAATGGTGATCATTAAAAAGTCAGGAAACAACAAGTACTAGAGAGGATGTGGAGAAATAGGAACACTTTTACACTGTTGGTGGGACTGTAAACTAGTTCAACCATTGTGGAAGTCAGTGTGGCGATTCCTCAGGGATCTAGAACTAGAAATACCATTTGACCCAGCCATCCCATTGCTGGGTATGTACCCAAAGGATTATAAATCATGCTGCTATAAAGACACATGCACACGTATGTTTATTGCGGCACTATTCACAGTAGCAAAGACTTGGAACTAACCCAAATGTCCAACAATGATAAACTGGATTAAGAAAATGTGGCACATATACACCATGGAATACTATGCAGCCATAAAAAATGATGAGTTCATGTCCCTTGCAGGGACATGGATGAAGCTGGAAACCATCATTCTCAGCAAACTATCGAAAGGACAAAAAAACCAAACACCACATGTTCTCACTCATAGGTGGGAACTGAACAATGAGAACACATGGACCCAGGAAGGGGAACATCACACACTGGGGCCTGTTGTGGGGTGGGGGGAGGGGGGAGGGATAGCATTAGGAGATATGCCTAATGTTAAATGATGAGTTAATGGGTGGAGCACACCAACATGGCACATGTATACACATGTAACAAACCTGCACGTTGTGCACATGTACCCTAAAACTTAAAGTATAATAAAAAATAAAAACATACAACCAAACAAAAAAAAGAATGCTGGAAAAGCACAAATGTAACGTTTTATGTGGTGGGACAGCCCTTTCAAAAGTGTTTTCCACTGCTTATACTGATGAAGGTAGAAAAAAATTTCACTTATTTTAACTCTTCCTTTAAAAACTTCTTTTTGGTGGCTCATGTCATGCATACTCCACAAGTCCTGGAAGTTAAATGCTCTTAAATATTTGATGGTCTGGTCTTAGCAAAACGGCAGGTTTTTACTTTTACATTTTTAGCTATGTTTTAAATTATTTGTAATCCAGACACTGAAGTTTTATTTTGTTGTGAATTGAATCTGGGCAGAGTGTACAAGGGATCTCTCTGTATTATTTTTACAACTACATGTGAATCTATAATTATCTCATCAAAAATTCACTGAAAAAGGTATCACGGAGCCCATGTTTGCTGTTACCGTCTTTGCTCCTCCCAGGTTACAATGCCCCGTGCCTCTCAGTGCACAGTGAAAATGCAGCAGACGTTTTTGATGTGAGCTCCACGGAATGGATCCAGACTGTCCCCTTCAACAAGGTAATTTGACCTTAAGATTATGCAACTAATGAGTTAATGACTGAAACGCGGAAACAGAAATAATCCATTGTACATTTACTGTAATGGGTACTTGCTAGTTTGGAGGCTTAACAAAGAGTATAAAAAACAAAACCCTACAAAACATTATATTGATTAATTGCATTACTAGTACTAGAGCCATTTGTGACATCTAGTTCCATTATATAAAGTAGTATTGTTATAGATAAATATATTATTTATTTATACCATACAGCACAGCAGTTATTTCCCATATTCAGTTTAAAGTTACTTTATCAGTAATTTTTACTTACCAGTATAATTTGTTCCTTTTATACTTACCAGTATAAAAAGGAACACTTTACAGGGTAAAAGGAACATTTTTACAGGGTAAAAAAAGAAAAAAGCATATAACCAAGGCTGTGTTTCAGATTCTCAATAGGATCTCACAATGGTGATGTTTTGCAAAACAAGGACATTGACAGTAACTCCATCTACTTACCTTAGGCAGATTTTCCTAGTTTTACTTTCACTGTGTGTGTATTAATGTCTGTATAATTCTACCACCTGTGTGAATTCATGTATCCACCACTAGTCAATATACTGAATGGCTCCAGCACCACAGTGGGTCCCTCAAGAGCCCTTTTATAATCACTCCCCCTCCCTCACACCTCCTTCCGCTTTCCTAACCCCTGGCAATCAGTAACCTCCATTTCTAAAATTTTATCATTTCAAAAATGTCTAACAAATGGCGTTATATAGTATTCATGATTTTTATCTGCTAAGTCCAAATTTATTTTTCTAAAAAAAACAAACTTTGGATTAGAAACCCAGGAGAATCCCATTACAATATTCTTATCATATAGCAGCTACATCAAAAAATTTTTGGAATATATACAGTTCAAATAAATAGACAAAAACAAGTGATGCCCATCAGTCAGATGATAGAGTAACTTCAATTCATATGGTCCAAGTCTGACAAAAATGCATTCTAACACCTGCATCTAACACCAGCTTTATTGAATAATTTCATCACGTTTCAAAATCTGTGTCTCCTAGACCAGTTGAGCTCACAACAAAAAGCAATTGTAGAGAGTTAGAAAAATATATGAAATTAGTGAACAAAACAGTGAAACCTTCCAACCAGGAATGTTTTTGGAACTTTCTTTGTTAGTAATAGTTCCTTATGGTTCCTAAATATTCAACCTCCCAGCATGAATGTGTCTCCCATCAAAAGAGCCACAGAATAAACACAACCTCTTTTTTCAACATCCCTCTTCCTATGCTCACGTCTCCCATCTTTTTCCCTTGTCTTACAGCCAAATTCCTGAAATTGTTATTGATATTCCTTGCCCTCCACTTCCCACCCCTATTCACACCTCCATCACAGGGCAATCTGACTTACACCTTAATCACTCCATTAAAGCTGCTCTCATACAAGTTATCAGCCATCAGTTGTGAAAACCATCTGACCTGTTTGTCTCTTCTTGGCTGCCCAGCGACACCTGACCCTTCTTTCTTCAGTCCCCACGCTGCTGCTCCCTCGATTTTCCCCACTTCCCTGAATTCTCCTTCCCTGTTTTCTCTGCTCCTCTTCCTCTGGTCGAAGCCCTCTTCCTTTCTCGCTCTGCTTACTCAGCATGTCCAAAGAGTCAGGCTGACACTACCAGAAGCGAGTCATCGATTTTAGCGTGACAAGTGGGATGGCTAGAGATTGTGTGCCATGCACAGTACTGTTCATGAAGTGTTCCTACAACCAGGCTTTAGAGCTCCTTCCCCATTATAGGAAATTCAGGGCATAGAAGTGAAGCAGTATCATGAGGGAGAACAAAGACAGGTGCAGATTGTGGGACATTATGAAGGACAACAAATCAGTGGCAGGGAGGACTGCTCAGGATGAGAGGACCTTTGTGAGAAAGTGGTGTGCAGGGTGGACCTTGTCAGGATTCTGATTCCAATAGACAGACTGCAAAAAGAGAAATACTTGTGATAATCAAGTATGTATGACTGTGGACTATGTATGGGATGATAATCAGAATCATTGAGTACATCTTCAGGAGCGATCACAGCAATGTGATTATGGGAGAAAGTGTCCCTACTTTTAGTGATACATGTTCAAATGTGTAGAGATGGAACAACATGATGTCAGGGATTTGACTTGAAATATTCCAACAACACAACAACAAAGAAAATACTTCAATGGTCACATCTCTTCCTCCATACCCGCCTAGATCTGCTCCACCTTGTGTTTTATGACCTCAGAGTCTATCAGTGGCCTCCGCCCCTTTGCTCAAGTTGGAAACCTGAGAATCATTGCTGATTCTCTTACATGTCAGCTTCCACTTCCAACCAAGTGTGAAGCTTTTGCAATTTTATCTCCTCAATATTCCTCATATCCTCTCCTCTCCATCCCCACCGCTACTATCATACATAATTTTAATTCACAATTTCTCCCGTAACCCCCTAACTGGTCTCTTAGCCTCCAGTAAGTAGTAATTGAATTCCCTTAATTACTAGTGGTGTGGAGCATTCATTTGTGCGCTTATTTGCCACATGTATCTTCTTTGTTGAGGAACCTGTTCAAATACTCCGCCCATTTTAAAAATTTGGGTTGAGTTGGGGAGCGGTGGCTCACACCTGTTATTTCACCACTTGGGAGGCCAAGGTGGGTGGATCACCTGAGGTCAGTTCAAGACCAGCCTGGCCAACATGGTGAAACCTCGTCTCTACAAAAATACAAAAATTAGCCAGGCATGATGGCGGGTGCCTGTAATCCCAGCTACTCGCAGGGGTGGGGGTGGGGGATTGGGAGGCTGAGGGGGGAGAATCGCTTGAATCTGGGAAGCTGAGGTCACAGTGAGCCGAGATTGTGCCATTCCACACCAGCCTAGGCAGCAGAGCAAGACTCCATCTGAAAAAAATAAAATTTGGGTTATTTATTTTCTTATTATTGAGTTTTTAAAATTCTTCATACATTCTGGATACAAGGTTTTTTTGTCATATCTGATTTGCAAATATTTTCTCCAAATCTGTGGCTTGTTTACTTCTCTTAGCAGTAAATTTCAAATAACAGAAATTTTTAATTTTATCAATTTTTTATTTTTATTTTTATTTTGAGACAGAGTCTCACTCTGTCGCCAGGCTGGAGTGCAGTGGTGCGATCTCGGCTCACTGCAACCTCCGCCTCCCAGGTTCGAGGGATTCTCCTGCCTCAGCCTCCCGAGTAGCTGGGACTACAGGTCCCAGCTCGTATAGCCAGCACGCCCAGCTAATTTTAGTATTTTTAGTAGAGAAGGGGTTTCACCATGTTGGTCAGGATGGTCTCAATCTCTTGACCTTGTGATCCACCTGCTTCTGCCTTCCAAAGTGTGGGGATTACAGGCATGAATCAACGTGGCTGGCCCCAAACTTTTATCACATTTTTAAAAGTTTTATACATTGTGCTTTGATGTTGTATCAAAGAATTGTTTGCCTTATCCAAAATCAGAAAGATTTTCTTCATTGTTTACTTTTAGGCACTTCCTAGTTTTAGGTTTACATTTAGTTACATGACCTATTTTGAATTAACTCTCATATATGCTAAGAAATATAGATAAAAGTTGATTTTTTTGCATATGGTTATCTGAGGTTCTAGCACAATTTGTTGACAGCTTTTGCAGCTTGTTGGAAATACTGTATATATTAAAGCAACAGAATAGAGGATCCTGCAATATATATCAGCAAATGTATAAACAGACACATAGATATAGAGATGGATATACACAAAATATTTTTGTATCTGTATATACAGTTCTGAATTTCATATCATATATATTATAGTTTTATTGTTGAAATCAGGTAAAGTTAATTTATCAAATTTGTTCTTTTTTCAGTTATTTTGGCTCTTCTAGATCGTTTGCATTTTCTTATGAATTTCAGAATCAGCTTGTCAATATCTACCAAAAAATATTAAAATCCTGCTAGAATTTTGACTAGGATTGTGTTGAAACTATCTATCAATTTGGGGAACATTTATGTTCTAAATATTGGTTTCCAGGGCATGAAGACAGTGTATCTCTCCATGTATTTGGGTTATCTTTAATGTTTCTCAGTATTCCACAGTTTTCAGTGTACAGGTCATGCACATCTTTTGTCAGATTTATTCCTAAGAGTTTAATATATTTTGATGCTACTTTAAATGGCATTGCTTTTAAAATTCCAATTTCTGGTTATTTGTTGCTAGTATAAAATGCAATTGGTTTTTGTATATTGTTCATGTATCCTGCAACCTTGCTAAACGCATTTATTAGTTCTAATAGCTTTTTTTGTATTTTATATTGAATTTTCTACATAGATGTTCATTTTGTCTGTGTGCAGTTTTGCTTCTTTCTTTCTATCCTGGACGTATTCTATCTCAGCTTCTTGTCTGGCTAGGATTTCCACAACAATGTTAAATGTAAGCGTGGTGAGAGCAAACATCCCATCTTGTTCCTGATAAGACAAACAAGAAAGCATTGAGTGTTTCGTTACTAACAATGATGTTAGCTGTAGGATTTTTCACAGATGCCTTTTATCAGGATGAGGAAGCTCCCTTCTAAATGTTCCAAATGTAAATATATGACTTCATCAGATGTATTTACTGCATCTATTGACATGATCATTTATTAATATGGTGCAATACATTGATTGATTTGAGGATGTTCAACCAACCAACCTTTCTGAGATACATTATATTTGTCCACGGTACAATATAATTTTTATGTATTGTTGGAACTGATTTGCTAACATTTTGTAAAGAACTTTTATATCTAAATTCAAAAAGAATATTTGTTTATAGTTTTTTTGTAATATCTTAGTCTAGCTTTGGTATCAAGGTGATACTAGCCTTATAAAATAAGTTGGTAACTAGTTCCTACTCTTCAATTTTCTGAAAGAGTTTAAGTATAATTGGTAATATTTCTTCCTTAGAGGTTTGAACAAAAAACTTCAGAGAAGCAATCTGGGGTTAGAGTTTCCTTTGTAGGATGAGCATTTAATTAAAATTCAATTACTTCAATAAATATAGAGTTATTCAATTATCTGATTCTTCTTGAGTGAGCTATAGCAATTTGTATCTTTCAAAAAAATTCTCATTTCATCTCAGTTACAAAATTTATTAGGTAATGCTGTACACAGTATTCCCTTACTCCATTTTTAATTTTTACAAAATCTGTGCTGATATAGTTTCTTTCATACCTGATATTAGGAATTTGTCTCTTTTTTGTTTTGATGATCAGCCTGCTGGAAGTTTATAAATATTTGGTTTCATAGATTTTTCTCTATTTTTTTTTGTTTTATTGATGTTCACTCTGATCTCTAGTATTTCCAAAATTGTTTTTTGTGTTTAATTTGCTCTTGTTTTTCCAATTATTAAGGCAGAAGCTGGGGTAGTTAATTAATCTAAAATCTATTCTCTTTTCTACTATAGTGTTTAATCCCATAATTTTACACATAAATATTGCCTTATCAGCATTCCACACATTTTGAAATATTGTTTTCACTCTCACTTAGCTGAAAATGCATTGGTTTCTCTTTTGAAATCTTCTTTAGCCCTTGCAATATGTAGACATGTGTAATTTATCATCTTAATACTTGACGTTTTTCCAGAAAAGTTATTATTATTAACTTCTAATTTATTTCCAATGTGGTCCAAGAACATACTTCATAGGACTTAAATCACTCCAAATATTCTGAGACTTGCTTTCTGGCACAGAATGTATTCTATCTTGATAAATATTCTGTGTTTGCTTGAGAAGAGTTTATATTATGTGACTGTCAGGTGGACTGATTTATAAATATCAATAAAATCAAGTTATTTGATAGTTTTATTTTTTTAAGTCTGCTGTATCTTCACTGATTTTTTTTCTACTTGTTCTACTAATTATTGATAGTGAGTATTGTAATCCCCAACTATAACTGTGGAGAAATAGACAACTATTTCTCTTTTGAGTTCTATTGGTGTTTGTTTCGTTTGTGTTGAAGCTCTGTGATGACATACGTAGTGCTTGTTATTCTTAGAATTATCACGTCCTCCTGAGAAGCGGACCCTGTTCTCCTTATAAAACGACATTCTTCATCCCTGATATTCTCTTATCTGATGTCTACTTTATCTGATATGAATATAGCCACTCCAGCTTTCATTTGATTCATGGTAACTCTTTTTCAATCTTTTACTTTTAATATGTTTGTATCTTTACATTTAAAATGTCTTTCTCACAGGCAGCATGTACTTGGGTCTTCATTTTTTTCATCAAAGCTGACAATCTCTCCTTTTAATTGGGATGCTTAGAACATTTAACAAGATTTTTGAAATGGTTATGTTACACCTGTGATCTTGTTATTCATCTTTTACTCAATCCATCTGTTCTTTGCTCCCCTTTCCTGTTTAGTGCCCTGTTTTGGATTTTGTTGTTGTTGTTGTTATTCCATCTCATCTTCTTTGTTGGCTTATATGATAACAAAACTTTTTGTTTTGTTATTTCAGTGGTTGCTTTACAACTCTAAGTTACTGCAGCCTACTTTCACATGTTATCTTACTTCATGTGTGGTGTAAGAACCTTCCAGTAACATGCTTTCATTTTTCCTTTCCTGGCCTTTCGCTATTGTTGTCCTGCATTTCACTTACACATAAATTACAAACTACACAAAACACTGTTGTTATTTCTGTATAAAATTCAATTATTATTTCAAGATTTTTTAATGGAGGGGTCTTATACATCTTCCTATACAGTTACTTTCCAGAGCTCTTCATCCTTTATTACAGATCAATATTTCCATCTGATATCATCTTTCTTCTGCCTGAGGAGTTCCTATTTTATTTCCTGTGCAGCAGGTCTGCTGGTGATACGTTCTTACAGTTTTTTTCTGCCTGGATATATCTTTATTTCCCCTTCATTTTGGAAAGTTATTTACACTGGTTACAGAATTCAGAGTTAACAGTATGTCCTCTTTTAGAATTTAAAATATTTTTTCTATATCCTCCCAGATTCTGGTATCTGTGATGAGAACTCTGGCAGCATCCTTTGTTAATCTTTATGTATGGTGTGTCCCATCCCTCTATGTCTGTATCACTAGGGTTCAATACTTTGATTACTATGAACCTTTGTGGAGTTCTTCATATTTCTTATAGGTGGGCTTTACTGAGTTTCTTGGATAAGAGATTTATAGTTTATATCAAATTTGAAAACATTTTGGCCATTTTTTTGTATTATTTTTTCTGTCCCTCCTCTTTTCAGTCCTTCTAGGACTCAAATTACATGTATTATTGGCTGCTTGAAGGTGTTCTACAGTTTAGTTTCTTAAAATCCTTTTACTCTATTTCCTTTTGGATAGTTTTTATTGCTATGTCTTGTATTTGGCAATGTTTAATCTGCTATTAATCATGTTCCGTGTATTTTTCATCTCAAATTTATAAGAGTTTTTGGGTGGGCATGGTGGCTCACACCTGTAATCCCAGCCTTTTGGGAGACTGAAGTGGGCTGATCATTTGAGCTCAGGAGTTTGAGACCAGCCTGGGCAACAAGATAAAACCCCGTGTTTACAAAAATTAGCCAGGTGTGGTGGCACATGCCTGTAGTCCCACCTACTCAGGAGGCTGAAGTTGAGGATAGCTTAAGCCCAGAAGGCAGAGGTTACAGTGAGCCGAGATCACGCCACTGCACTCCAGCCTGGACGACATAGCCAGACCCTGTCAAAAAAAAAACAAAAACTTTCATAACCAATTATATAACCATTCTACTACTTAGAGGAACAAAAAAGTCAATAATTCACGATTTAAAAGCTACTAAAAACATAAAATATAAAACTATGCACTAAGGAGTTTTATATATAAATTTACCCATTAAATAAATATGTGTATGTACTTCTTTAATTTAAAAAATTCTAATGACTTACAGTTTATACCACAAGATTATTTATACAAACAGATTATTCTCATTCCAGAGTGGGCTTTTTGGGGGATGAAGTTTACTAAGCAATTTACAATGTTCTGTGAAAATCATCAGCTTTTTCAGGTTCTGTAGTAAAGTTATAAAAGTTCTAGGCACCATATCTTTTTAAACCATAAGAAAATACGAGGGCACATGTGTGTATGTATGTATGCATGAATGCTTTTATGGCAGTTTTATTTGTAATTACCAAAAACTGGAAACAACCCAAATGAACTGGGGAATGAATACAGAACCTGTTGTATATCCATACAACGCAATGCTACTAAGCAACAGAAAGTAATTACTGATACATAAAAACATGGATGAATCTCAAAATACATTAGGTTAAATAAAAGACGTCCGTCTCAAGAAGCCACATACTGAGTCAAGCAGGGGGATCCCTTGAGACCAGGAGCTTGAGGCCAGCATAGGCAATATAACAAGGCCTCCCATTTCTATTAAACAAACAAAAATTAAAACAAAAAGGCTAAATACTGCGTGATTTTGTTTACACGGAATTCTGAAAAGAAAAAAAAAAAAAGACAAGACAGAGAAAAAAACAGATCAGTGGTGGCCAGAGACTAGAGGTAAGGAAATGGGCTGACTATGGAAAGGGGCATGAGGAAATTTTTTGAGAAACTAACTCTATATCTTGATCATCATGGTGGTTGCACAACTAGATGTGTTTCCCAGTCTTACAGAACCATATTCAAATACACCTTAATAAAGATAATTTTCAACCATACATATGATAGAATCATAATTATTACTCTTATACTAAGACCAAATAGATGCTGCTTAAACCACTGAGGCAAGAACACTAAACCTTGGTCTGATCTGCCTCCAAGTTTGAAAACTCCCTTCCATTAACATTTTGCCTAAAAATTAAACAATATTTGTAAATTAGTCACAAAATCCTTTAAGATTAAAATATACATATATTCTTAAAGAAAACTACCTAGTGCTTGCAACCAAGTCATTTTAGGAGAAAATTAGCTTTGTTAAGAAGGGAATAAAGCCCAAGTAATAAATATTAACATCCATCTTTTCCAGAATCATGATGGTCAAAACAATGAGACTCTTCTCCTAATTTTGGTTCAAAATACCAAAATTTTTACTTCAAAAACTCTCTAACAGATTATTATAAAATCTTAACATTTGCCTAAAAGTCTTTAAGTATTTTCACATAACTAGGCAGTATAACAAAAAAAGAGCACAGGCTTAGGCTGGATGCAGTGGCTCACACCTGTAATCCTAGCATTTTGGGAGGCCAAGGCAGATCGCTTGAGTCCAGCAGTTTGAGACCAGTCTGGGAAATGTGGCAAAACCCCGTCTCTATAAAATACATTAAAACGTGGCCCATACCTGTAGTCCCAGCTACTTCAGGGGATGAGGCAGGAGGATGGCTTGAGCCTTAGAGACAGAGGCTGCAGTGAGCCAAGATCACGCCACTCACTCCACTCTGGGTGATAGAGTGGGACCCTTTCTCAAAAAAAAATTTTTTTTTAAAGCACAGGCTCAAGAACTCAACCCACCTAGGCAAGTTATTTAACCTAATTTTCCATCGATTGTATCATCAGTAAAATTGGGATAATTTTACCTACCTCTAGGAATAATCCTAGACTATTACATGAGTTAATACATGTATTATAATAAATCACAGGGTAATGCCTGGCATAGTTAACTAAGTCTCAATACCAACCTAACATAAATGAATGACACCAATAATCACCAGCTGTGTAGTCTTTGCATACCACAATTCTGCCCTGTAAGGTAAGTGGCCTAAATTCAATGGCCTAAATAAAGACCTATCTAGTAATACTACTCTATATTCCTATTATTTTACCTGAATTGCACCTACCTAATTCAGTTTGCAAAAGAAAGGTTAAGTATTTTACCTCTTATATATAAAAAAGTGAACTATAAATAAGTTAAATGACTTACCCAAAGAAACAGTAACTTGAAGGCAGAGCCAAGATGAGGATTTGGTATTGAGACTCCTTAAAACTTTGTCCTCTCCAAAATTTTTAGCCCTCCATGAATTCCTTCCCTCCTAACAAAGATACGGGTATAATGCACCCCCAAAAACCTCCAATTTAATAATTTAAAAATTTCATTAAGCTATACATTTGATTTGTGCACTCTTCTGTATGTTTTATATCATAATAGAAAGGTTAAGTGGCTTATTACCTAATACACTAGTATTCACTTGTATTCACATATGAATACATACACTTGTATTCACATATGAAGAGAAGTAGTGGAAAAGTTACATTAAAAGCTAAAAGGTGACAAACTAAGCAGATTATGTTCTTTAAAATTTTGTGAGAGGCAAAAGTTTTTAACTGAGGTATATAATACATGTACAAAGAAGTGCACACTTCCTAAGTCTACTATTCAATGATTCTCATAAACTGAACACATCCATGAAATCATGACCCAGATCAAGACAGAGAACATTACCAGCACACCTACAATCTCCCTTGTCCTCATCACCAAAGATAACCATTATTCTGATTCCATTCCCATCTGTTAGTTTTGTCTGTTTTTTAAGCTTTACAGAAATGGAGTGCTCGCTTCGGCAGCAAATATACTAAAATTGGAACAATACAGAGAACATTAGCGTGGTCCCTGCACAAGGATGACATGCAAATTGGTGAGGCTTTCCATCTTTTTATTATTACAGTAGTCTGTATTATTTCATATCCAAAAAAATGATCAATATGAAGAATGGGATGAACTAATTAATACTGTGATTGAAGACAATAGCATTATTTGCCTGGGAAACTAAAGACAAAACAACTGGAAAACTACTAAAACTGTTAAAGGAGTCAATTTGCTACTTATGGAATAAACATATACTGTATTCACAGTAACATATATTATGGAATTAAAATCACATTTCTGGCTGGGCACAGTGGCTCACATCTATAACCCCAGCACTCTGGGAGGCCAAGGTGGGAGGATCACTGGAGCTCAGGAGTTCAAGACCAGTGTGGGCAACATAGTGAAACTTCCAAAGAATAGGACTAACTCCACGTGTAGCATCTACATGTGGACAAGCAGGAGTGTTTCCTGATTAAATAACCTAAGTGTCATCTCCATGAATGCATGTATACAACTTTGTTGGATTGAAGGCTCCTCATCTCAACCCCACTGGAGGTAAATGCTATAAAAGTAAGTAATTCAAGAAAGTTTCATCCAAATTAACTCATGTAAAACAAAAACAAAACAAGAAAAATTTGCCACATCAAGGTAATGTTATAAAATGTGTAATGTAACTACTGTCTTTATTTGTGTCTCACTTACAAAGTAGATCTGAACTATGGATTACTACTACTTACTTTGATTAAAAAAACACTGATGTGAGATATTTTTGTAAATTTTCTTTACCCAAAGGTTCACTGCAGCCATAAAAAAGAACAAAATCATATCCTTTGCAGCAACATGATGCAGCTGGAGATCATCATCCTAAGCTAAACATTGGGTAAACATGGACATAAACATGGGAACAATAGATACAGGGAACTAACAGAGAGGAGAGGATGGGAAGGGGCGAAAGCTCAAAACTGCCTACTGGCGGCTGGGTACAGTAGCTCACGCCTATAATCCCAGCACTTTGGGAGGCCAAGGTGGGTGGATTGCTTGAGTCCAGGAGTTCGAGACCAGCCTGGGTAACAGGGCGAAACCCAGTCTCTACAAAAAAATACAAAAAATAGCAGGGTATGGTGGCCCACCACTGTAGTCCCAGCTACCCCGGAGGCTGAGCTGGGAGGATCGGCTGAGCCCAAGAGGTCAAAACTGCAGTGACCAGTGATTGCAATATTGCAATCCAGCCTGGGGGACAGAGACCTACCTTGTCTCAAAAAACTTAAACAAAACTACGTGCTGGGTGCTATGCTTACTACCTGGGTGATGGGATCAATTGTACCCCAAACCTCATGCAATATACCCATGTAACAAACCTGCACACTATTATTATTGCGAGAAACAGAGCTAATTTAGAACAATATATATAGCTTGACCCAATTTGAGGAAAAATTTTACATTTGTATATTTGTTGAAAACAACTATCAATAAAGAACTAAAATTGCATACTATTCATTCATATGACTGAATACTACACAGCTATTAAAATTAATGAAGTAAGGCAGGTGCAGTGGCTCACACTTGTAATCCCAGCTACTCGGGAGGCTGAGGCTCGAGAATCACTTGAAACTGGGAGATGGAGGTTGCCGTGAGCCAAGATTGTGCCACTGCTCTACAACCTGGGTGACAGAGTAAGACTCTGTTTCAAAATAATCATAATAATAATACTACTAATAATACACATATATCAGCATAAATAAATGTAACTTTCCAATTACAGAATGTATGTACCAAAATATCACATAAATTTGAAACACAATAGTACTACATGTTAAATATATGTAGATATTTGTAGGAAGAATATAAGTGCATGAGCTAAAAAGATAAATAACTTCTGCATAAGAAAATAGGATCTAAGAGGATGACAAAAGGGACTCCAACCGTATGCATATTTTATTTTTAAAAACAAATTTAGGCCAGGCACAGTGGCTCACCCCTGTAATCCCAGTATTTTAGGGGGCCAAGACGGGCAGATCACTTGAGGTCGGTTGGAGACCAGCCTGGACAACATAGTGAAACCCCGTCTCTACTAAAAATACAAAAATTAGCCGGGAGTAGTGACAAGCTCCTATAATCCCAGCTACTCAAAAGGCCAAGGCACGAGAATTGCTTGAACTTGGGAGGTGGCGGTTGCAGTGAGCAGGGATTTTACCACTATACACCAGGCTGGGCAACAGAGTGAGACCCCATCTCAAAAATAATAAATAAAAACATATATAAATACACTTTTGAAGCAAATCTGATAAGATGTCAGCATCTATGAAATCTACTGAATGGGCTGGGTGCGGTGGCTCACGCCTGTAATACCAACACTTTGGGAGGCCAAGGTGGGCAGATCACGAAGTGAAGAGATAAGAGACCATCCTGGCCAACATGGTGAAACCCAGTCTCTACTAAAAATACAAAAATTAGCTGGGTGTGGTGGCGTGTGCCTGTAATCCCAGCTACTCAGGAGGCTGAGACAGGAGAATCACTTGAACCCAGGAGGCAGAGGTTGCAGTGAGCTGAAATTGCACCAGTGCACTCCAGCCTGAGCGACAGAGCGAGACTCCATCTCAAAAAAAAAAAAAAAAAAGGAAAGGAAAAAAGAAAAAAAATCTACTGAATTAGTACCTGGTGTTTGTTAAATTATTCTCCATATTTTTCTAAATTTTTGAAATATTTAAACTTTGCTCTAAAAAAGTCGAGATTTTGGAATTCAGAGACAGGCTTTGTAGATTCAGTACAGGATGTGTGTGTGTGTGTGTGATAAGCCTGTTATTCTGTACTATAAAATTTCTAACTAAAAAAAAATTATATTAGGTTGGTGCAAATGTAGTTGCAGTTTTCGTATTGTTGAAACTTGCTATTTGATACTGGAATACATTCTTAAATATATGTGGTTATTTATATACCATTTTAATGCACATTTCTCACCTTTTTTGCTAATAACATATTATTTGCTGTTTTATTCTGTTAGACAGTGGAAATTATATTATAAAAAAAAGCAAATTCAAGCGATTTTCTTGAGTTCAAAATGGGTCGCAAAGCAGTGGAGACAACTCGCAACATCAACTACACACTTGGCCCAGGAACTGTGCAATGGTGGTTCAAGAAGTGTTGCAAAGGAGACGAGAGCCTTGAAGATGAGGAGTGTAGTAGCCGGCCAGAAGAAGTTGGCACTGACCAATTGAGAGCAATCATCGAAGCTGATCCTCTTACAACTACACGAGAAATTACCGAAGAACTCAATGTCAACCATTCTACGCTTGTTTGGCAATTTAAGCAAGTTGGAAAGGTGCAAAAGCTTCTTTTTTTTTTTTTTTTTTTTTTTTTTTTTGAGATGGAGTCTCACTCTATCACCTAGGCTGGAATGCAGTGGCACCATCTGGGCTCACTGTAACCTCTACTTCCCGGGTTAAAGTGATTCTCGTGCCTCAGCCTCCCTAGTTGCTGGGATTACAGGCACCCACCACCACACCCGATTACTTTTTGTATTTTTAGTAGAGCTGGGGTTTCACCATGTTGGCCAGGCTGGTCGTGAACTCCTGGCCTCAAGTGATCTGCCCGCCTCAGCCTCCGAAAGTACTGGGATTACAGGCGTGAGCCACCACGCCCTGCCAAAAGGTGAAAAAGCTTGATAAGTGGGTGCCTCATGAGCTGACCAAAAATTTTAAAAATCGTCGTTTTGAAGTGTTGTCTTCTCTTATTCTACATAACGACGACGAACCATTTCTTAGTTGGATTGTGACGTTTGACAAAAAGTGTATTTTATACAACAACAGTGATGACCAGCTCAGTGGTTGGACCGAGAAGATGCTCCAAAGCACTTCCTGAAGCCAAACTTTCATCAAAAAGAGGTCAGGGTCACTGTTTGGTGGTCTGCTCCTGGTCTGATCCGCTACAGCTTTCTGAATCATAGTAAAACCAATACATCTGAGAAGTATGCTCAGCAAATCGATGAGATGCACCGAAAACTGCGAGGCCTGCAGCTGGCACTGGTCCACAGAAAGGGTCCAGTTCTTCTCCACGACAACACCCGACAACATGTTGCACAACCAACATTTCAAAAGTTGAATGAATTGGGCTACAAAGTTTTGCCTCATCCACCATATTGAACTGACCTCTCACCAACCGACTACCACTTTTCCAAGCATCTAGAAAATTTTTTGCAGGGAAAATGCTTCCACAACCATCAGGATGCAGAAAATGCTTTCCAAGAGTTCATCGAATCCCGAAGCATGGATTTTTACGCTACAGGAATAAACAAACTTATTTCTCATTGGCAAAAAATGTGTTGATTGTAATGTTTCCTATTTTGATAAAGATGTGTTTGGGCCTAGTTATAATAATTTAAAATTCGTAATCCAAAACCACCATTAATTTTGTACCAACCTAACAGTACCTACATTTATTACCTCAACTGCTCTTCAACTTTCTTTTTTTGAGACAGAGTATCCCTCTGTCACCCAGGCTGGAGGGCAGTGGCACAAATCTCGGCTCACTGCAACCTCCACCTCCAGGGGTCAAGTGATTCTCCTGCCTCAGCCTCCTGAGTAGCTGGGATTACAGACGTCCACCACCACGCCCGGCTAATTTTTGTATTTTTAATAGAGACGGGGTTTTGCCATGTTGGCCACGCTGGTCTCAAACTCCTGATCTCATCTGTCCACCTTGGCCTCCCAAAGTGCTGGGATTATAGACATGAGCCACGGCGTTCAGCCTAATCTTACTCTTTAAAAGAATAAAGTAAGGGCAGACAATAACGAATGTCTTAACCCAGAAATCTCACCTTTTTGAATGATGTTCTCCATTCACAGAAGCATTTAAAACACTACAAGTGTGCAGTAAACAGCAAAAGCCAACAAGCTCTAATCACTTAAACTCTAGAGAATATATGACACAGCTCTTCCTAAAATATCACCAGATGGGTATATAAACGTAGAACGGCTTAACTCCCAGCTGTATATTAACACCAAATCTCCAATAAGCCTATACTGTCATAATAAAAATCATTTGCCTAAATCTCTTCCAATTCATATTAGATGTATTAATATAAACCATATCCTACCTGAGTTGCTACAACTCCACTTGATATTTAAAACACACCACAACACACAAGCACACAAACACACATACACGGATACAGAACTTGGGAGTTCAGGCTGAGTTCTGCATTTACAGAGTTCATAGAAACCAATTTTTCTTAAGGTATCTTTCATAATTCTCAATCAGCTTATTAAAAAGAGAAAAACTAGATGGCTCAGTCCTCTTGTGTTTAACTGTGATCAAATCCCACAATGTCTTCAGTCATAGTAGAGTTCACAATGATAAAGTTCAAATAAGCTTACCTGCCCCATTCCTCCCATACTACTTCCTACAGCTGCCACTCGTCTTAGGAACTGGAGCCAGTTAACCACCCACTTTCTCAATGGTGACTGTGACCTAAACCTTCACAAGACATCCAGTGAAAAATAAAGACTTTAAAATAGCAGTTTTTGGCTGAGCGTGGTGGCTCAGACCTGTAATCCCAGCACTTTGGAAGGCCATGGGCGGATCACCTGAGGTCAGGAGTTCAAGACCAGCCTGGCCAACATGGTGAAATCCCATCTCTACTAAAAAATACAAAAATTAGCTGGCTGTGGCCAGCTTGTGCCTGTAGTCTCATCTGCTTGGGAGGTTGAGACATGAGAATCGCTTGAACTTGGGAGGCAGAGGTTATAGTGAGCTGAGATCGCACCATTTCACTCCAGCCTGGGTGACAGAGTGAGACTCTGTCTTAAAAAATAAAAATAAAATAGCAATTTTTCCTACTTATAAAAGTAATACATGCTCATTGTAGAAAAATGGGAAACTATAGAAGAATAAGAAGCAAAAAAGCCACATTATCCCACCGAGACAGAAATTAATCACTACTAATATTTCCATTCATGGCAATCCAGGATCTCTTCTGTATATCAAAGTGTATTAGTTCATTTACCAAACAGGATTTTAAGTACTGCAGAACAAGGGGGAAGTAGCATACTAATTCTTTGGAAGACTAATTTTCTTCAGTGTAAAGAAGTTACACTTACTGCTGAGTAAGTCAACCATATGTACAGGAAACTGGAGAGAATGACAAAGGTGAGGGAAATCATGCCTGCTTTTTCTTCATTCACTCACAGCAAACCATGGAGTCCATGTTTTGGGAACCATTATGTATGCAAAGACCAACTAATGAGTATGTTTCCTTTATAAATAGCAGCCTACTAAATAAACAAATACATACATACATATATACGAATATACAGTCTTGCCACAGGAGTTACACACACAGTGAAAGGAATGACATTAAGAGTATTTTTAAAATTATTATACTTTAAGTTTTAGGGTACATGTACACAACGTGCAGGTTAGTTACATATGTATACATGTGCCATGTTGGTGTGCTGCACCCATTAACTCGTCATTTAACATTAGGTATATCTCCTAATACTATCCCTCCCCGCTCCCCCCACCCCACAACAGGCCCTGGTGTGTGTGATGTTCTCCTTCCTGTGTCCATGTGTTCTCTTTGTTCAATTCCCACCTATGAGTGAGAACATGCGGTGTTTGTTTTTGTCCTTGCGATAGTTTGCTGAGAATGATGGTTTCCGGCCTCATCCATGTCCGTACAAAGGACATGAACTCATCATTTTTTATGGCTGCATAGTATTCCATGGTGTATATGTGCCACATTTTCTTAATCCAGTCTATCATTGTTGGACATTTGGATTGGTTCCAAGTCTTTGCTATTGTGAATAGTGCCGCAATAAACATACGTGTGCATGTGTCTTTATAGCAGCATGATTTATAATCCTTTGGGTATATACCCAGTAATGGGATTGCTGGGTCAAATAAATGGGATCTAATTAAACTAAAGAGCTTCTGCACAGCAAAAGAAACTACCATCAGAGTGAACAGGCAACATACAGAATGGGAGAAAATTTTTGCAATCTACTCATCTGACAAAGGGCTAATATCCAGAATCTACAATGAACTCAAACAGATTTACAAGAAAAAGACAAACAACCCCATCAAAAAGTGGGCGAAGGATATGGACAGACACTTCTCAGAAGAAGACATTTATGCAGCCAAAAGACACATGAGAAAATGCTCATCATCACTGGCCATCAGAGAAATGCAAATCAAAACCGCAATAAGATACCATCTCACACCAGTTAGAATGGCGATCATTAAAAAGTCAGGAAACAACAGGTGCTGGAGAGGATGTGGAGAAACAGGAACACTTTTACACTGGTGGTGGGACTGTAAACTAGTTCAACCATTGTGGAAGTCAGTGTGGTAATTCCTCAGGGATCTAGAACAAGAGTATGTTTTTTGTCACCATGAAAGTATCTTAAGAGACAGTAAAGGGATATGTGAAAGGTTGATCTAAAATTCATGACCTCTTCCACAAAAATAGTTTCTGTGCACATAAGATGAAGGAACAATCTAACTACGGAAAACGTAACTGTTGATTTTATAATGCTATAACTTATTTACACGTATAAATAAATATGCAGGAGTTTAAACAGTTAGTCCACAAATATCGATAGCTTACTCTGTACCAGGCAATGTATTAACTGCTAGGGAGTAAGGGAGAGAACAGCCACCAGTCCCTATTTCTGCAGAACTTTCAATCTGTCTCTTGAAGTATGATGTCAAACACTAGGCATGTGGCCTCAAGCAAGTCACAACAGTCCTGATTAAATGATGATCTCAAATCCTTGTGATGATCTAAGAAGATATATGTGAAAGTAGCTTATAAATCATGTTACCTAAAGTAAAAAGAGATATGTAGCCATTTGTGCAAAGCACTGTTTATAGCAATCATCTTCAATAGAAATTATCTTTATTTATTTATTTATTTTTTGAGATGGAGACTCGCTCTGTCACCCAGGCTGGAGTGCAGTGGCGTGATCTCGGCTCACTGCCACCTCTGCCTCTGGGGTTTAGGCCATTCTCCTGCCTCAGCCTCCTAAGTAGCTGGGACTACAGGCACCCACCACCACGACTGGCTAATTTTTTGTATTTTTAGTAGAGATGGGGTTTCAACTGTGTTAGCCAGGATGGTCTCGATCTCCTGACCTTGTGATCCGCCCACCTTGGCCTCCCAAAGTGCTGGGATGGCAGGTGTGAGCCACCGCGCCCGGCCCCTCATTTCTTTTAACTGGCAAAAAATAATCACTCAAGTTGCTTAATATAATCTCTTTTGACAGTCTCTAAGATTTTGATATTATCTTTCTCTGCCAATGACCCATATGAAGTAACTGAAATTAATTTTCCCATGATGGGGGAGAAAAGATTCACTTTTTTCTAATACAAAAAGCTTTATTTCCTGATTTCATAATTTATAGGGGTTAGGGGGCAGGCAGCCACAGATCAAAAGCAACTTATTCAAACTCAAGAAAAAAATTATCTTTTAATCTAAGAATCACCATGGAAAGTTTGTTATAGGCTCAGGCTAATCCAAATAGTTAGTGACAGGTTAATTGTGGTACTTTGAAAGCAAAGGAGAGCAAGTAGCAATTATTCTTCCCTTCACTCAGTCTCTAACACCTAACCTCTTAAAAAACAGGGAGATATATATTATAGCCAAATTGCTTTCCAAAAAACATAATTTTAAAAAATATGCTCTACACAGTATCAACTGTTTGTATCTAAAAGAAATAGACTATTTACATTGCTTTTTATCCTACGATTTATCCTTTTCAAATTCAGCCACCTCAACGATGCAAAAAAGTATCAAACTGATGCTTTAAATTTATTTTTGCCCTTATTGCAGATACGACTCTAAAGAGCATGGGGAGTTTCTTTTTTTTTTTTTTTTTGAGATGGAGTCTCGCTCTGTCACAGACGTTGGAGTGCCGTGGTGCAATCTCGGCTCACTGCAACCTCCACCTCCTGGGTTCAAGAGATTATCCTGCCTCAGCCTCCCGCGTAGCTGGAACTACAGGCGTGTGCCACCACGCCCAGCTAGCTTTTTGTAGTTTTGTAGAGATGGGGTTTCACCGTGTTAGCCAGGATGGTCTCAATCTCCTGACTTCATGATCCACCCGCCTCGGTCTCCCAAAGTGCTGGGATTACTGGCGTGAGCCACCATGCCCGGCCTAGCATGGGACATTTTAAAGGCATTCATAATCCAACTAAACAGGACCACCTGCAAAACTAGTGAAATGCCCAAAAACAAACATCTATAAATGCCCAATATTAAACCTCAAGGGTCTAAAGCAGTAGTATCCAAAGCAAGTATAACATACCTCCAGGAGATCGGGCATGGTGGCTCACACCTGGAATCCCAGCACTTTGGGAGGCTGAGGCTGGCGGATCACTTGAGCCCAGGAGTTCAAGACCAGCCTGACCAACATGGTGAAAACCCATCTCTACCAAAGAATACAAAAATTAACCAGGCATGGTGGCAGACACCTGTAATCCCAACTGCTCAAGTGGCTGAGGCACAAGAATCACTTGAACCCAGGAGGCGGAGGTTGTAGTGAGCCAAGATTACACCACTGCACACCAGTCTGGGTAACAGAGCAAGACTCTTGTCTCAAAAATATGTATATAGATCATATATTATTATATATACATATATATTATACATATACACACACACACATATACACATGCCTGCACACACACACACCTCCAGGAGTACCCAAGAAGCCCCAGGGTAAAAAAGGAAAATATTTGAACTTTATTTTTAATTATCATCCTTGTTAATTTTTTGTTTGTATTTTAAAGTCCACAATAATCAGTTACTATATGTTTATTACTTGTAAATTAAATATCTAAGGATTAAGAACTGATGCTCAATATTTTTCTTTTTCTCTTTTTTCAAAGCAACAACATGAAGTTGTATCAATTTTTTTTCCTGACTTCATTCTTCCCATCCCATCAGTTTTTTGTTTTTTTTTTAAAGAGACAGGGTCTCACTATGTTGCCCAGGCTGGAGTACAGCGGCGGTATTCATAAGCACAATCACAGTGAACTTTAGCCTTGAACTCCTGACCTCAAATATCCTCCTGCCTAAGCCAACTACGTAGCTGGGACCACAGGACCACGTACCACACCTGCTTAATGCTCAAAAGTTTTTGGTGATGGGGTAAGCAACGAAAGTTTGGAGACCACTGGTCTACACGACTCATTGTCACTGAACTTTCATTTTTATCAGCTCCCTCCCAAGAGTTAAGCTATGGAAGTAAGTCCTGATGCTGAAAAAGAAACAGAAGAAAAACTGTTTCAAACTATTTTGAACTCCCAACAAGCTAAAGATGACAAATCACTAGCAAGAATATATGGAATTGAATACTAATATGCTGTTGACGGGAATTTCAAATAGACATCCTATCTAAAGGGCATCTTGAGTATATCCACATTTAAAACACACATACCCTTTGACCTAATAAGCCCTTTTTTTTTTTTTTTTTTTTTTTTTTAGAATGAGTCTCACTCTGTCGCCCAGGCTGGAGTGCAGTAGCTTAATCTCGGCTCACTGCAGCCTCCGCCTCCTGGGTTCAAGTGATTCTCTGTGCATCAGCCTTCCAAGTAGCTGGAATTATAGACCCTCGCCACCACACCAGACTAATTTTTGTATTTTAGTAGAGATGGGGTTTCACCATTTTGGCCAGGCTGGTCTTGAACTGCTGACCTCAGGTGATCCACCCACCCGCCTTGGCCTCCCAAAGTGCTGGGATTACAGGCATGAGCCACCATGCCTGGCTAATAAATCCGCTTTTAAGAATTTATCCTGGGCCAGGCGCGGTGGCTCAGGCCTGTAATTCTAGCACTTTGGGAGGCCAAGACGGCCGGATCACGAGGTCAGGAGATCGAGACCAGCCTGGCCAACATGGTAAAACCCCATCTCTACTGAAAATGCAAAAAATTAGCTGGGCGTGGCGGTGCACGGCTGTACTCCCAGCTACTCAGGAGGCTGAGGCAGGAGAATCACTTGAACCTGGGAGGCAGAGGCTGCAGTGAGCCAAGATCATACCACTGCACTCCAGCCTGGGTGACAGAGTGACTCTGTCTCAAAAAAAAAAAAATTATCCTAAGGAAATAATAGGACAATTCAATGCCCAAACAAGTTCATCACAGTACTACTTTAAGAGAAAAATTGGCAATATCCATTAACAACACAGAACTGCTATAAACTATGATGCATCCATATTATAGAACACTAAATACTCATTTACTCATTGAGGGAATATCAATTTTACATGGAAAGTTGTTCTTTTTTAAGGTATTTCAATAGGTATGCATAAGAAAAAAAATGAAAACACCAAACATCACATCCAGATGGGATTACAGGTTATCTCTACTTTTTTTAAAAAAGAAAAACATTAAAACTGTTCTGGGCCAGATGCATTGGCTCACGCCTGTAATCCTAGCACTTTAGGAGGCCAAGGCAGGTGAATCACCTGAGGTCAGGAGTTAGAAACCAGCCTGGCCAACATGGTGAAACCCTGTCTCTACTAAAAATACAAAAATTAGCCAGGTATGGTGGTGGGTACCTGTAATCCCAGCTACTCGGGAGGCTGAGGCAGCAGAATTGCTGGAACCCAGGAGGCAGAGGTTGCAGTGAGCTGAGAAAACGCCACTGCACTCCAGCCTGGGTGACACAATGAGACTCCATCTAAAAAAAAGTTCTGTAGCTTTCATAATCAGAAATAATTTCACTTTGAAATTTAAAATGAGATTAAGTTAAAACTCCAAATTATTGTCCTGTATCACTTCTAAAACTCTTTGTAAACACTCTGTCTTCCCATGTCATTTGTGGATCAGTCTAAATACTTAATCTAATATTTGGTTTATCTCATGGAAAAATGATAGGCATATAATAAACAACAACCCTGTTTCAAGTTAACCATCTTGTCTTTATACCAATTCTTGCCAGTTATGTCATGATTTATCAATATACTTATAACTTCCTTATATTCTGCCAGATTATAAATCTATGAATAATTCTGAAAATTATTCAGAAATTTCTATCTCTCTTCTGCAACTAAGTTACAAAAGTATTAACTACTTCGGGAGGCTGAGGCAGGGAGAATCACTTGAACCTGGGAGGCGGAGGTTGCAGTGAGGCGAGATCATGCCATTGCACTCCAGTCTGGGTGACAGAGCAAGACTCTGTCTCAAAAAATATATATATATGTATTAACTACTAAAGAAATTAGATTTAGACCCCAGATAAGTGAAATCAGAAAAGCTTGCTACCATCTGTCATAACAGAATCATTCTGAATATCTATAGTTATCAGATCAAGACAATACCTGTGTGGTTAACAAGTACTCCACACTCCATCTTAAGGGAAAAGAGTACTTAAGAAGATTATTATAGCATAAGTTTATGTGCTTTGTTCATTAATTCAACAATTTAGAACAAAGCTATGAGGTATTTCACCGCTAACAGAATAGCTTTAAGGTAACCCATCTTCACAATTTTCTCTTTGTTTTCATTTGTTTCATGCCTTATTATTTTATAGACAGTCTTTCTATCGGCATTGCACAAGTACTATGTCCCTAAACAACTACGACCAAGTTTTATCACGACCCAAAAGAAAAAATAACTTTCTAGGCCAGGTGCAGTGGCTCATGTCTATAATCCCAGCACTTTGGGAGACCAAGGCAGGACTACTCAAGCCCAGGAGTTCAAGACCAGCCTGGGCAATGTAGCAAAACCCTGTCTCTACAAAAAATGAAAATAATAATTTTTAAAAAGAAAAAATACATTTTACACGGCAACCAAGTATACATACATAAACATATCTTTTAAAAAGAAAGAAAAGTTTCCCAAATCAATATTTACTTTTACTTTACACAATGTACTGATATATTCTTTTTTAAAATGCTTTTTAAAATAAGTACATTGATTTCATTACCCTATGACACTGCCACCTGCTACTTAAAAATGTAGCCTTAAAACTTTATGCAGAGTGTGCTAAACTCCTTGCTCCTACCACCTTCTCCCACGACTCCAACATAAGAAAATGGGTAAAATCTAGCAAGTCTATTCTAAGTACAGACCTTGGCATAAATGTGAGACACCCCAGGTTCCTCTGAAGTCCCTGCAACATTGTGATTATTCCAACTGGCAGACAGGATACATTTGCTGAAAGGTTTCTCCAGCCAGACTACAGAAGCAGAAACCTTTTCTGTTGCCTTATCAGTGATATTGCTAAATTCTGCACTTGACAATGTGGACCAGGTTTACTACTGCTCCACAAGCCAATTCTTCCAAGAAATAAAACAGGATTCCAGTATAATAGGATTCTAATACCAGACCCTTACATTTTTTGAATACTTTTCAAACACATTATTCCGTTGCATTCTCCCCCTGGCAGTCTGTTAGAAAAGTAGAGAAGCTGCTCTTCTTCCTTTCACTAATGAAGGAATTGGAGCTCAGAGGGGTTACGTGGCTTGCCAGAAACAACACGGCTAATGAAGAATACAACGCAGGCTTGAACCCAAGATTTACTCATCTATCCACTTTTATGCTACAATTTTCATTTTTAATATCTGATACAAGTATGAACTTAAAAAGTATATTGTTTCTAGATACAAAAGCAAAGGTGAAAGCATGATATCAATATTGATGATACCAAAAAATTAAGATTAAATATAGCAATGACATGTTAATAATTTTGGAGGCCTCTAAAGTTACTGGCAGTCCTAGTTCAATCCAATATGAATCTGATATCATCTTATATCTTCAATCAATGTTACATGATTATAAATTTATGTATATATTCACCATAGAAAATTACAGAATTGGGTGGTAAGAAACAACTAGCTATATAAATTGCACATACTCCCCCAAATCATTCTCAAGTCTTGTGGCTTCACACTAAATTATGAAGTTCCCAATGTAAAACCTGATTTGATTTCAACACTAAGCGAATTACAACAGCATAAGCATGTTCTTACTACATAATACTTGCAACATACATTCAATTTCCGAAGCACTTTTGGACAATGTCTAAAATCCATAAGCTAAAAGCAGAACCCAACACAGAATCTTGTTTCTTTTAAATGGCAAAGGTTAGTCTACCTATATGAGATGAATACCAAATAACATAATTAGAACTTATTAAAAATTTACAGAATCAGGCTAGAGAAACTACTTGAGGTCAAAGACTATAGGCCCTTAATTGTATAGATGAGAAAATTGATGCCCAGAGAAGTTAAGTGACATTCCCAACAGCAATTAATGACACAGATGGAATCAGAATATATGTCTATCTGTCAATCCAGAACTTCCCATTATTCTATATTACCTCTGCATTTAATGTGCTCTTAAAAAAGTCACTAACATCTAAAACACTTAAGACACATTAAGACTCAAAAACCAGGGGACACAACAATGTTCACGACAGTCTTTAGAAAACAATTTCTTAAAGGAATCTCAAAAATTCCAAACAACAAGCACTGAAAGCTGGCTCTTTATTTTTTTTATTTTCTTTCCTATCCAGAGCCCTACTTGATCAAAAACTGGCTCTTTAATCCATTGCAAATTATCAAGTAGCTTTTAATAACTAACATGGCTATAAACCACCATAACTGTTCTTTTTTCCATATCAATACTATTCACTTACTAAAAAAAAAAATCTGAGGGTATAGAATATGCTGATAACTGTGCTGGGTATTGGCGACACCAGGGAACAAAACAGACGAGGCCTCTGGCTCTTCTAATGGACAGCTGGGTGCAACTCTCTAAAAATACTACTTCATGATTTGACAGGATATTTGCCAAAGTCCTTCACTACTCTACACAACTATAACAACATTTTCTTCCACCTCTTCCAAACTTATAATAACCTTCACCACACCCCCTCTAAAACGTGAATACGTCCTTTGGTAACTCAGCATTCTACTTCACTAAAGAAGGTGTGAACGTGTTAACTAGAACTACAGCAGATTTTTAAACTGACTTTACCACTCCTCATGGCCTGCGGTAAATTTCAAGAACTTTTCACAATCTGTAGTAACCCTTCCTGGTTCACAACCCTGATCTCAAATGACTGCTAACACACCCATCCTACCCTCCACTAGAAATCTGAGTCAGATGGTTTAGGAGCAACCATGTTAGGGAGCATCTTCAGTGGACCCCTTTATGAGCCAGAAGCTGACTTACTTCCTCTCCTTCTCTGTTTATTTCCTCTGGATTCTTGTGTATCTCTGGATACAATGTATCTCCAATTAATCAGCATCTAATTTTATCAAGTGTGTTCCTGATAACTTGTGCACAAATTAACTTTTGGCAGCAAATCTGTTTCACCTACACAAATCCATTATATTTTAAGAGATGCTCAATTTGCATCCTTTAAGTTTCTCATGCTTCCCCTTCTCCACTTCTTAAATTCTTAAAAAGCTATAAACAAAAGCACCCTGGGAAGCCATAATTAATGGGAATTCTTTGGAATACCCAACCTAAAGCAAAAGTTCACATGCCTTGCTGACCACAATCAATCAGGGAGCTTTGTAAGGATGGATTCCCAGGCCCTATCCTCAGAGATTTTAATTCATTAGGTCCTGCATAAGTTCGAGGAACTTAGGTAGTCCATAATATTGCTAATGACCAGCCTTAAACTAGACAACCACTGAAGAACCTGGCCTATGAGCTGAGAAACTTGGGTTCTTTTATGGCAGGCCATTAACGACAAGTGGGGCTGTACCACTGTGCTGGTCACTTGAAGTTCTCTGAGTCACCTGAAACTGAGGGAGTAATTGCAGCCAAAAGAGGTCTGTCGTCATAGGCAGCCAATCTAGAATTCTAGAATCCTCCAAATTTAGTTTAATATCACATACTATACTGGGTTACTCAAAACAGTGTCATTCTGGCTGGGGGTGGTGGCTCACGCCTGTAATCCCAACACTTTGGAAGGCCGAGGCAGGTGGATCACTTGAGGTCAGGAGTTCCAGACCAGCCTAGCCAACACGGAGAAATCCCTGTCTCTACTGAAAATACAAAAATTAGCCAGCCGTGGTGGCGCACACTTGCAATCCCAACTACTTGGGAGGCTAAGGTGGGAGTATTGCTAGAATCCGAGAGGCGGAGGTTGCAGTGAGCAGACATCACACTACTGCACTCCGGCCTGGGCGGCAGAGCGAGATAACGTCTCAAAAAAAAAAAAAAAAGTGTCATTCTGTAAACTCTTCTAGCCTGCCCAAGTCATAGGCCCTATAAAGGGAAGACTTTCTGCATGCCATCAATGTCTCCTGTCCTACTGAACAGCCCTGAATCTGAAGGGGGATGGTCCCCCACCACCTCTCCACGGACAAATCATAAACATCTAACATTTTAAAAAAATCATCTCCTGTAATTCAACCCAGGCCTCTCATGGCATTACCATTCACATAAGAGAAAGTTGAACCTCAACTGCAAAAGTATATGGTTTGGGGGTGTTGTTTTGTTTGTTTGGGTTGTGGAAAAACAGATGTCAGAAAACAAAGTGGATATCAAGATACTAGAACAGTAAGAATTTAGGCCTCGGTCTGGAAACGACATTTGAACATCAATATGTAATAGTAGTTCATGTCCAAAACTCACAAGTGAGATTATCAAACTCCAGGGGAGTCTATTAATGTGGCCATAAAATCTACCCCATAATTTTGACATAACTTTTCCAGCCCAAAATACGACTGACATCATCTTATGGGTCCGGAAATACCATACATCAAGGAAAATTTCTACCGGAGAAATAACACTGTAATCGTTTGGGGAGCAGTCTGACCAGTGTTCCCTGAGTTACGCCAACCGCCCCCAACCATCCTTCCCACCTATTACCAGGTCAGGAGGATGTCCTGCTGCACGCTCAGGCGGTCGCTCCTCCTTTCCACAAGACCCAGGCCCGCACCGTTCGCCCCGGGGCTCCCATGGCCCCCGACCTCCAGTCTCCAGCAACGATGGATCCCCACAGACCAGGCAGGGGGCGAAGGGCGCACACCCACCTCCCGGGAGTCAGTGGGAATAACCCGGGCGCTCCCAGGGTACGTCCCACACCCGGAGCCGCACGGGCCCATCCCCGCCAGGTCTGGGCAGGCAGCCGGAGCCCGGGACCCCGCCTCCCCCGCACCTAGGGTCCCGGCCGAGCTCGACCGCTGAGGTCCCGTTCCCACTCCCACTCCCAGCGCCTCCCCCTGGCGGCGGCGGCCGCCCGGGACGCCCCTCCCCGGGCGCTGCCTCCTCAGAGGGTGACAGCCGCCTGGCCGGGGCCATAGAGGCCGGCCCCTCCTCCAGCTCCTCCTCACCCCGGGAGGAGACAGGGGACGGGGATGGGGTTCTTACCAGGCAGCAGGACATGGCAAGGCCCGCCACGGCACAGCCTCCTCCTCCACCATCTCACCAGGCTCCCTGCCAGGCCCGGCGCAGGGCAGCGACTGAGCTACTAGGGCGTCTGGTCCGGCTGCTACTCCGCCGCCGCCGCCGCCTTCTCACAACCACAACAACACTGCAGCAGCGGCCACACAGAGTGCACTCCCGACGCCGAGCCGGGCGACGAGCGGAGACGCGCGCGCAGGCTCGGGCGCTGAACCGGGTGTCCGGGAAAGGGGGCGGGTCTCCGGGAAAGGGGGCGGGTCTCCGCCTGGTGGACGGGGGCGGGGCCTGGACAGGTGGTCACGCCCCAGGAGATAGGCGGGGCTGCAGCCCAGACGAATACCAGCGTTTGGGGAGAGGCTCGCGAAAAAGCCCAGCGGAGGCAGAAGGGCTAGACAGATGGGAATTGGGCGCAGGAAAAGCGATGACAAAAATAAATCTGGAAGAAAACCAAAGGTGGTCCTACAAATTTTTAGGAGGCGTCTTTCCCTGGGCAAGACATGGCTCACTCTACTTACCAGAAAAATAGAACAACAGTGGTTATCTTTCACCTGCAATTGTGGTCAGGATAAAAGCAGTTTAATATAGTGCAAGTAAATGTAGTGTTTTAGAAGATGTATTCAGGATACAATTTCTTTTTTTCATTTCTTTTTTTTTTTTCTGTCGCCCAGGCTGGAATGCAGTGACATCTCAGCTCACTGCAAACTCCGCCTCCCGGGCTCAAGTGATCCTCCCACCTCAGCCTCCTGAGTAGCTGGGACTACAGGCGCAGAACATCATGCCCCGCCAATTTTTGTATTTTTTGTAGACACGGAGTTTCTGCCATTTTGTCCAGGCTGGTCTCGAACTCCTGGGCTCAAGCAATCCACCCACCTCGGCCTCCCAAAGCGCTGGGATTAAAGGCATGGACCGCCGCACCCGGTCCAGAATACAATTTCAAGCTGATTCAACTTCAGCTCCTAATCAAAAGCTTAGCGGGAAGAAGTGAATTTTCAAACAAAATAAACCCCTCCCCCGCAAATTGTAACCTACCCACATTAGCCTGCAGAATTCCACAAACCAGGATTGCATTACCGCAGGCCCTAACAGATTCACCTCCTCTGAGTTGCCTTTTAACATTCTACCCTTGACTTTTCTGGAAACTGTCTGGGAGAGCTAGTCAAATGAAATCTATTCCTGCATCTGTTGTAAAGTTTTTCCACAGCACTTTCTGAAATTTATTTTCAATGTTTATTGTTTTTTCACTCCACTTAGAATGTAAAAGCTACTTGAAGATAAGGATCTTGTTTGTCTTGTTCATCACTATTTCCCCAGCACCTAGAACTGTGCAGGCTAAGTAGTAGGCAGTATAATTTCTTGATAGCTGGCTGGGCGCGGTGGCTCACGGCTGTAATCCCAGCACTTTGAGAGGCTGAGGCGGGTGGAACACCTGAGGTCAGGTGTTCGAGACCAGCCTGGCCAGCATGGTGAAAACGCGGATCTACTAAAAATGCAAAAATTAGCCGTGCATGGTGGCGGGTGCCTGTAATCGCAGCTAATTGGGAGGCTGAGGCAGGAGAATAGCTTGAACCTGGGAGGCAGAGGTTGCCATGAGCCAAGATTGCGTCACTGCACTCCAGCCTGGGTGACAGAGCGAGACTCCATCTCAAAAAAAAAAAAAAAAAAAAAAGGCTAACATTTATTCATACAACTCATCTAATTGAATCTTCACAACTTTAATAGGTAGACGCCGTTATCTCCATGTTACAGATGAAGAAAGTGAAGCACAGAATAAATTGCATGTATTAAAACAAAATTCAAACCCAAACCCAGCAGACAACAAACAAACAAACAAACAAACACACAAAAAACCACTGTACTCTCACTCACCAGGCTGTACTGCCCAGTGCATGACACAGTGGCCTGAAATAAAATCTCAAGTAAGAAATTACTTTAGGCCGGGCACAGTGTCTCATGCCGGAAATCCCAGCACTTTAGGAGGCCAAGGCAGGTGGATTGCTTGAGCTCAGGAGTTCCAGACCAGCCTAGGCAACATGGTGAAATCCCACCTTTACAAAAAATACCAAAAAACTGGCCAGGCATGGTGGTGCGTGCCTGTAGTCCCAGCTATTTGAGAGGCTGAGGTGGGAGGATGGCTTGAGCCTGGGAGGCAGACGTTGTAGTGAGCCCTGATTGTGCCACTGCACTCCAACTGGGTGTCAGAGCGAGAAAAAAGAAAGAATGAAAGAAATTACTTTAGAGGTAAATTCTTGGAAAGCCCTTGCTTTACTACCAGAAAAACCAGTGCGCTTCCTGCTTTTTGATAACTCTTATGCAGCTGGTTGTGTCTCTCTTTTCACTCTGGCTTCCAGAAAGCCCAGGGCTAAATGTGAAGCTCAGCAATGACCCCTGCTTGGCCCCTAAGGTCCACTCTTGCCTCGACTTTGCACCTTTATTTATATGTGGCTGTCCTGATTTTCCCTTTGTGTTATATGACTGTAGGCTTTATGGAATGGGAGAAGAAATAGTAAACACATAAAATTGATGAATGACTTAAAGACTTTTATTTTATTTTTGAGACAGAGTTTCGCTCTTGTTGCCCAGGCTGGAGTGCAATGGCAGGAACTTGGCTCACTGCAACGCCTGCCTCCTGGGTTCAAGTGACTCTCCTGCCTCAGCCTCCTGAGTAGCTGGGATTACAGGCATGAGCCACAACACCCGGTTAATTTTTTGTATTTTTAGTAGAGACAGCGTTTCTCCATGTTGATCAGGCTAGTCTCGAACTCCCGACCACATGTGATCCGCCCGTCTCGGCTTCCCAAAGTGCTGGGATTACAGCTGTGAGCCGCCATTCCCGGCTTATTTTTATTTTTATATTTTATTTTATTTTCACACAAGGTCTCACTCTGTTGCCCAGGCTGGAGTGGAGTGGCTCACAGCCACCAGGTGATTTGGGCTCACAAGTCACCCTTGCTAAGAGGCAGAGTCCAGAGCAGAACCTGGGTAGATGCCAAAGGCAGCACTCCCTACTCCACACATGGGTTTCTGTCAAGTAAATCACCAGCCAGGTGAGGTGCATACAGCATCTAGGGAGATGGGACACCGTGTTGTCCCCTCCTTCAGCCAGGAGGCCCCACACTGAGCGCCACTGTCTCCACTGTCCGATGCTACAGGAGAAACGTTTCCTGCTGGTTAAGGAAGTAGAAACTGCAGATCACTTTTCATCTTATTGGAAATCACTCTTTGACACTCTTGCCTCATCTTCACTCAGTACACATTGACTCTACCAGCAATAGCGTAAAAATAAACACAGCTTAAGGAAATAGGAACCCTTTATTCCTGGGACTTAAAAGCTTGACTTTCTCCAGTAAGTCAATTACCAGTGCCCACGGCAGGAAGAGCTCTGATGCCAGGGTTGACAGCACGCTGGAAAAACGGAGGAGTGTTTGCATTTCTGGGGCCTCAAGTAATGAGAAGTTCTTCCAAGAACACTGACAGGGATATTGTTGCCCTATTTTAGAATTATTACTCTGAAGATCAGGGAATTTCAGGCGGTTGAACTCATGCCACAGCACCTGTGCTTTTCTGGTAGGGGAGGGATGGAGTCCAGCTCAGGAGTCCCCCGTCATGGGGGAAAGCACTGTGATGGGATGTCTGTGGGGGGATTAGAACCCTATAGCAGATGGGATAGGGTGGGGAGTCTACATATTTTTATTTGGATGCTTTGATGGAGTAAAGTTCCAAACCAAGCAAGTATCAGGCAGGGGGCAGTCCAGGCTGTGGTGCTGTGCTGTGAGGCTGGGAGTCCGGGCAGGTCCTGTGTTCACTGGTCACTTCCACAGCCTGAAGCCCCTCGAAAGGACATCTGCACAGAGGCCCGCTAGTGACTTCAGGATGCTGATGATGCCCTCAAGGTGAGAGCCAGAGAAAATCCCGTCAACTCTGCCAACCAAGGGCGTCAATGGCCACGTGTGTGGTTTTCTCCTGCAAAGAACAAGCCAGTTTGCAAACCATGCTTTTGAGGCTAGAAAAATGGCTGTATTCCTTCAGTGTCTCCTGAAGTCTGGGTCCCCTGAGAGTTGATTCAAATACTGTATTCTCGTAAAATATGGTAACATTTAGACCTGAAAAATGGCCTGGGGGATAATCTTATCAAACCTCTGATGTGGTTATTTTGTAACTGAGTATATTGAAGGCTGGGGAACAAAGCCATCTGGTGCCAGCATCCTAGCTGCTCTCTCTCCTCCAGGGGCTTGCCTTGGTTGGGGGCCTTTCCAGCAAAATTAGGCTGAAGAGATGAGATTTTAGTTAAACAAGGCCCACTGTTGCTTTAAGACAAAATGTCAAAGTTTTAAAAAATGTATTAACTTGTTCTTTTGGCCAAGAAATCAATAGATGCACTTCCTTTCCACTGTGCAGGCACTGAGCTGACAGAGGAGTAAGAGCTTGAACCATCTACGTGGTCTGAGTGACCACATCCTTCACTTGGAGCCCTGTTCTACAGCAGATAATTCTGAGTCACCCCAGCTAATGGCTGTGCACAGCATCCTGATGCTCTGATTAGGCTGAGGGGCATGTGGCGTGGTGGCTAGGCTGTCTCAGAGAGCACCTCAGGCTGGGTGGACCAGGCTGACCCAGAAGAGGGCAATGGGCCTTTGACAGGGACTAGCTGGCTACTATCTGCCTCTTCTGCAGTTTGGGACACTTAGGGTCATGGGTGAAAGTGTTTTTCCACATATGGTGGCCCGAAAGGAAAGGAAACTCATGCCAGTGTTCAGAAAGCGTGCGGGTTTCTCAGGTAACGTTACTGCAGCCACTGATGTCTAATCCAAAGAGCTCTGAATGCTTGCCATAGAGATTTGTAGTTTTAATACTGAAGCCCCGAATATTCTGATTTCCTCATTAAGACCGACCTAACATGAGCTATGCAGTCAGCTAAGGTATCAACGGGAGGAAATTGCCAGTGTTTCCCTCTTATTTTCCTCTGAGGTCATCTGAAAACAACCGCAGTGAGGACGGAGTTCGTGCGGCCCTGATGGCTGTGTGTTCCCAGCTCCAAGCATGCACGAAATATTTAATTCATTTGAATATAAATAAGTTAATGAATATGAATACATTAATAAATTAATTGGCATCGTTTTAGTCCTGTTGCAGTTTCAAACTCACCGATTTATCCAACTTCTTTGCACTGAGTTCTTATTCAAGTGAAGTATTCTGGTCTTGTGACTTGTACTTCTGACATAGTAATAGAACAACTAATATTTATTTAGAACTTTAGTTTACCAAGCACTCTACATTTTATTTTATTATTTATTTGTTTATTTTTTTTAGTAGAGACAGGGTTTCACCGAGTTAGCCAGGATGGTCTCGATCTCCTGACCTCGTGATCCACGCTCCTCGGCCTCCTAAAGTGCTGGGATTACAGGCTTGAGCCACCGCGCCCAGCCTACATTTTATTTTTACATTTTGTCTTTACAAACCCCCACGGGGCAGGCATTCTCCTTACACGCAGTGTTAATTGGTGACACAGAGGCTCAGGGGTTTAAATGGTTTCACTGTAAACAATGTAATCTAGTAGGATGTTGCTTTCCTATTTTTCCTAATACTACCATGTTTAGATGTGGGTGGCTGAGTGGGAGTATATGATTTCCTGTGTATGTATAGACGTAACCCACACTCACAGGCGGGAAGTTCTGCAGGCTGAGAAGCGAAGCCCTTTGCTGAACAACCACCACCAACATTCTAGGGCCCCCACACCCTTGGTTCTGCAGGCTACACCCCTCCCATCTGCTTAGAAGCAGAAAGAAAACTCTGCGGTTACTTTTCCCTTTGACAATAAGCCGCGGTTCTCTTCAACGTTCTCCTGGGGACTTGGGTCAATGTTCTCACATGCAAATGTTAGCCAGGCCCAGGGTTATTGTTTCCCCTACCCCTGCGGATTGATCATGGCATGCAACTGCCCCATATTGTATTTTGGTCACCCCCATCGGCATCCCATCTGCTGCTAGTGCCTCTGGCCAGCTTCTCGCATGGTCCTGACACGGTGCTGTCACTCTCACATTATTTGCACACATTGTTTACCTATAGCTGGACACATTGTTCATAGGAGCCCAGCTGGTAAAGTAAAAATATTCCAAGACTGTGCTGATAAGCTACTTCTTCCCTGCATCCTGGGCTGGTGAGAAGCTAAAGAGGAATGAATGCTCTGCCTGTGAAGAGGCCGCACTGCAGAGAAGAGGAGGCAGAGATGCAGTCGTCACGGCCCTAAGACCCTGCCTGGACCCGGTTTTGCAAGTCGAGGGAAGAGTTTTGCACAAATTCTCACTGGGAGCATTGTCAGGGCTGCAGCCACATCACTTTTTTTTGATCTGAGTCCTTTTAACATTAGCTATGATGTCAAAAAAGATGAAATTGAAGTTGTCAACATCTGGTGGAAGGCAAAAACCAGTGAATTTCTACCCAGGGAGAGTTCCTCTGCAGGGTCCCCGCTTCTGGTGGCCTGGAGTTGGGGAGGCCTCTGGAGCAAGTCAGGGGATTAAATTCTGGGTTTTCTTCCATTTTATTATTTTCCTATTTTGACATCTTTGAAAAATGGCTCAGCCTCATAGTGTATGGGTCTTCTGATTGCTTTTGTCTTGATTTTATTCTGACTGAGGGGCAATGGCCACTGTGGGCTCCTCATCCAGGATGAAGAGGGCCCCTCTGTGGCCTGGGTGCATCCATGCTCTTCACGGTGGCCTCATGGATCGTCATACAAAGGATGATCTCAGTGATGAGCTTGAGCCTACCCAAAATTAAATTATATGGGTTTATAAGATTCCTCCTCAGGATCAGTATCATCAGGCCTGTCCCTGCTGGTAGCAAGGCCATCTTTATAATGTGCTGTCATGGTGGTAAAGGCATCACTCACTTGATGGAGATCCCAAAGACCAGCTCTACTCGAGAGAGATTTAAGCTAAGTTGCCTGGGAGTCCTTGGTGCTTTTTCGAGGTTCTACTGAAGACAATGCCATCATCCAAGTATCTCTGAATGCCAACGTAGCTCTTGCCTCAGGAGCTCTGAGACCCATGTTATCTATTTTTGAACTGGCCAAGGCCCCCCACAGCAAGGAAAGGGATGCTCTTCCCATCCTTGTCAGCCCTCGTGTCTTGTATTCCACCCCACAGCCTCCTAGCAAGCATCTCAGTGTCTGCAGGTGAGCATGGCTGAGTTCAGTCTTGCTTACTGCAACTGTAGACATGAGGTCTGTGGAAGTAAGAATCCTCTCATTTGCTGACTGGCATTTTGTTTAAGTCCCATGTCACTAATCTCTGGTGAGACAATCCTCTTTGTGTTTCCTGGTGATGGACTTGAGTGATTTCAATGTAAACAGTGGCTCCACCTGGGAGTGTATCCCCTTCCCACGGGGAGGGGGTGCATAGCCCCTGCCAGGTTTCTGCTGTCCTCTCATCCTCCCACTGGGCTTTTCCCCTGCAGATGGCCTGGTGCCCACACTGCCTGCAAATGGTCACTCTTGCTTGTCCCAACACCACCTCCACTGCAGCTTCCAAGAGCCCTAGAAGGGCCGGGCCCTGGCTGAGCACTATTCCTAGGCCCTGGATGGCGGGTGTGGAACTATGTTCTCATCAAGGTCATTTCCTCTTCTATTTTCATCATGTTAAGTAAATCCCTCTCTCATCATGAAATGCCCTGGAGAGAACAGATGCATAGCTGTGGAGTCTTGTTCTGGGATATGTCAGGTACCGGCTCAGGTGTGTGGAGGCTACAGGGGGTGGACATGAGTGGTCTTTCTCTCGCTGTGAATCACATGTTTTGTGCCAGCCCAAGGGTTCTATGAAGGAGAATCAGCCGTTTACCTGGCTGAGTCTAACCCTGGGATGGCGACAGCCGAAACCCCAGCTCCATTCCCTGACCTTCCCTAGGCTGCCGCATGGGTTCCCTGGCACTGTCACTGGGCTAATGCCTTCTGTCTCCTCCTGGGGTGAGGCCAGCCTTTACTCATAGTTTCTGCCCATTCCACATCATTCTGCCTCCCACCCTTGGCTTTTTCAAAAATCTGAGCCAAGCGTGTGCAAGGGGTTAGAAACATGCTGTCCACAGGGAACTAAAATACACTGAGATGAGAAACCAGCAGCACCTGCTTTGGAGCTGTCACACCTGGGAACTGAGAAGCAAACTCTCAGAGATGCCTGGAAACCTTGGGAGCACATGAGTTCTCTGCATATATTTCAGTTGCAGATGAGTTTCTAGTCAAAGTAAAAAACACATGAAGGGCATTCATGTTTCCAGGAACAGAAGCATCCTGTCTGATTTTTCAGAGGTGAAGGGAGCAGTCTGAAGGGGCCGTGGCATAAGTATGTCTACAATCAAAGCTCACAGCCAAGGCCCTGGGGGAGGTTCAGGTGTACCCCAGGGGGTGCGCCCCATCCAGCACTCCACTGACAGGGGCCTCGTCTTTATTAAATTCTAGGCCTTTTCCTGGGCACTAGTTACAAAAGGTGGGTTCAATGAACCCTAGGTTCTGTGGCTGCCACCCATCTCAGGGTCGCACAGGTAATGATTGCCACCCCCTCCACCTTCTGCTGAGGGTCCTGGTGACCCCCTGGTGGTGTAACCCAGGCCCTCACCCCTAAGGGGTCCTGAGCCTTGCTCACCACAGAGTCCTTGGTCTAGGGCTCCCGCACTTGTCCACATGCCATCAAATGCTGTGTACCGGGAGGTACTTGCGTGGAGCCCCTCCTTCCCCAGGCAGCACAGCCCTGCTTCTGCTAACACCACGGTCCAGGTGGTACCCATTTTTCTGCCTGCAGGTCCCATGGAGGAGTAGCCTGAGGACAAAGCAGCACCCGGAGCTTGTTTTTTCAGAGAACCTGGCCCAGCCCTGGCTAGAAGCCCCACAACTGTGGAAACCAGGGCCTCCTGCTTTTCAGAGCCTAGATATGCAGGATATAGATGCCCCTCAGAGGTCCTGGCTGTGAGGTGGAAGGTTGGGGGACACTGGGCTTCCTACTGCTGTGCTCCCATTGCCACATCTTCTACCTGGTGGGACAAGGCAGCTAGCAAAGGTGACAGATTCACCCAGACACTGTGTCCTCCCACATCCTGACCTGGCACCTGAGCCACCACTGCTGGGTCTGAAGCTCCCAGGAGTGTGTGTGTGCTGTGACCAGCAGACCTATGGCATGTGCCCTCTTCCTCCCTCTGTGGTGTGAAATCAGTTCCTCTGATGGTGTCATGTGAGGTCTTGTCCTGATGGGTAGAACTTTCTATAAACCATCCCATGGCCCCGGGGAAAGGCAAGCTCATCCCTTCAGGTTTAGCTGTTTCTGTTAAATGCAACCCTGTCCTTCCCAGGGCATCAGGGCCCCGTGCAGTTGTCCCAGCCTGGCAGGAAGTCCCCTTGAGGATTGTGTGGAGGGCGCAGCCTGGGTCTGACTCGTGACCCTGGCAAAGAGCAGGTGAGCCCTGGGGCTGACCACCTGCACTTTCTGTTTGGTGGTGGGAGATGTGGGGCAATATTTCTTGCGTTTCCTTTAGAGAGCATCTCCCAGCCTGCCCAGACAACCAGACCCCTAAACATGTGACTTGTAGGCAGGGCCTGGCTCTCTGTGGTGCTTTTCTGTCTCCTCCAAGCACCTGTGACTCACAGGCTTCCAGCCCTGCCAGCTTCCCCCATCTGAGCTCCTGATGCAGGGTGAGGACTGTATTGTGGCAGACAGCATGCCGGTTTACACAGTTCTGGGACGAAACTGTAGGTATACATTATTTTATGTCCCGAGTAAATGAATCCCATTTATGGATACTTTTTTTGACACAGAGGGAAGAAAGGCATTGGTGAGATCCACGGGCCAGAGCTCAGCCTGTGCTCAGGCTCTGGCAGCAGCTGTGCAGCTCTGGAGCTGTTGTGGAGTGGGGAGGTGCTGTGTCTTTGCTCCCTGTGTTAAAGGCTTCATTTGTGTCTTTGTTCAGTTTGTTTTCTTTGACCCCTGTTCAGCAATACTGAAAATCAAGCATTCCTAAGAGGTGGAGACTTTGCTTTGGAGCAGGGGCGGGGGCATTGGGTGGAAATGGGGAATAGGTTGATAGTGGGAATTTCATTTTCTGGAGCTCACGTGCAGCCTCTTGATGGCCTCGTCACAAGTTCACCTGATGACCTGAGTGGCCACTGTCCTTCTCCTGAGTGAGTTACGTGCTTGCCAGGCACATGAGCAGTGCATGCTCACATTTTTCAAATGAAGGAACTGAGAAGGGTTTGTCAGCAGATTGTAAGCCTGAAGCTGCCAGTGTTTGGTCCACAGTAAACCACATGTGGAGAGCTTAAAAAAATTGCCCTCAAATCTGGCAAGAAAATGACAGTAATAAATTAAATTATTACTGTGATACACATGTTTCTTTCATTACAATTAGATATATTACACATATCACAATTTTGCAGAAGTTGCTCATCTATCAGTATTTATTTATTTATTTTTTGCATAAGTTTCCAAGGAATCCTAATGATGGGGACTGTCTCTTTTAAAATTGAATTGTGTAAATAACTCCCAGAGCCATGCTGGTAAGAAACAAAACAAAACAAAAAGAACTAGAAACATGAACAAACATTGGATTTCTGCTGTAAAGAGGATGCAAAGCAGGCCTGCCTGCTGCACCTCCCCAGAGCTAATCCTTGAGCCAAAAGAGCTTCCTGGTGAAGCCTCGCACTCTCTGTAACAGGGCGTGGGGGGACCAAGACATGCGGGCTCCAGATTAGACCATCTTTACCTAGTTATGGGATTTCAGTCACGTCTTTTAAATTCTTTGAGCTGCAGTTTTCACATATGTAAAGTGAAAGTATTTTTAAAATTTTAATTTGTGTTATGACCTTGTATAAAGTTAAAATAGTACATTTGAAAGCATTGTAGCTGAAGTCAAACGTTCACGTGTGTGCATGCAATGGCTTCTTAATTATTTTAGGGCTTAACCTGGTTTTACTGGTACTGTTACTAGCACTGCTACTTCTCCATGTCTCTGAAGACTATGAAATACTTAGAACTTAAGCAACAAGAAGCACCTGTCAAAGCGTTCTATGGCCGATGACAGATTTGACACAGCTGGATATAGTAATATGTTCGATGGTGCCCAGATCATTGCTAAGCAGAGACTTCATGCTATTCTAAGTCGAAAGTGTCCCTAGAATTCTGAACCTGCTGAAGCAGCCTTCAGAACTGAAGTTGAGAAAAGTACATTTTCTTTTTTTTTTTATTATTATTATACTTTAAGTTTTAGGGTACATGTGCACAATGTGCAGGTTAGTTACATATGTATACATGTGCCATGCTGGTGCGCTGCACCCACTAACCCGTCATCTAGCATTAGGTATATCTCCCAATGCTAACCCTCCACCCTCCCCCCACCCCACAACAGTCCCCAGAGTGTGATGTTCCCCTTCCTGTGTCCATGTGTTCTCATTGTTCAATTCCCACCTATGAGTGAGAATATGCGGTGTTTGATTTTTTGTTCTTGCGATAGTTTGCTGAGAATGATGATTTCCAATTTCATCCATGTCCCTACAAAGGACATGAACTCATCATTTTTTATGGCTGCATAGCATTCCATGGTGTATATGTGCCACATTTTCTTAATTCAGTCTATCATTGTTGGACATTGTTGGTTCCAAGTCTTTGCTATCGTGAATAGTGCCGCAATAAACATACGTGTGCATGTGTCTTTATAGCAGCATGATTTATAGTCCTTTGGGTATATACCCAGTATTTTCAGTTAAAGAAAGTCTGAGAGACCGTGTTGCCATCACACCCAAACCCCAATAAATAAACTTGTTCAGGATGAAGAAAAATAACAGTTGGAAATTCTACTTCACAGAAAAGATGAAAGTGTGCCAAAAATAGTAAATATGTGGAGGGGAAATTACTGTTTTAATGACATCCTCCAGGAATTACAACATGTACAAAAGAAAAATCTATGACAACATGGCACAAAAGATGAGAGGATGGTAAGGTAAGGTTTTTATATTTTATATACAGTGTTATGATATTTAATATACATTAAGTATTTATATTTTAATTTCTGAACAACTCACCAAAAATAAATAAATGAAACAAAGAGTCATAGTTAAAAAAAAAACAAGGTACAAAATCCATACTAAAAAAAAACAAAAAGAAAACCCCATAAAACAAACAAACAAACCAAAACTACCATAATCCAGAAGAAGATGAGGAAGGCGGAACAGAGACTGTCAAAATAAGTAAAAAGGAAACCTCAATAACCACTTTTAAAACGAAATACACTTATGAGATAAAGATATAAATAGATTTGAACTGAAAAGATGGACAAATATACACTATGCAAATCTTTGTTATCAAAAACTGCAGCCAGTGTATTAATGGCAGATAAGACAGACTACAAGAAAGACAAGCTTCACCAGGGATAAAGAAGGATGTTTTATACTAATAAGTCCATTTGCTTAGAAAACCTAATAAGCATAAGCATGCATACACCTAAGAAAAATAACAAAATACATGAAGCAAAAGTTATTGAATTAAAATGATAAATGCATAAATCCACAATTTGACAATTCTAATTCTTATATCTCAGAAATTAATAGAAAAAAAACTACAACAATAAGACTACAAGGTATTAATAGGAGAGATTATAACCAGAGCACTGGGAGAAAAACAGCAATATCCAATATGCTTACAACTATTGGTTGACAACTCAAAAGTTCCCAAAAGAATTTTTGACACCAAATAAAGGTAAATAGCCTGGAAAACCTACAAGCCAGCATAGGAAGGAAGTGGAAAATGAAACATTGATTGAAAATAAATCTGGAAGTCCGGGCGCAGTGGCTCATGCCTGTAATCCCAGCACTTTGGGAGGCCAAGATGGGTGGATCACCTGAGGTTGGGAGTTCGAGACCAGCCTGACCAACATGGAGAAACTCTGTCTGTACTAAAAATACAAAATTAGCTGGGTATGGTGGTGCATGCCTGTAACCCCAGCTACTTGGAGGCTGTCGTAGAAGAATTGCTTGAACCCGAGAGGCAGAGGTTGTCGTGAGCCAAGATCTCCCCATTGCACTCCAGCCTTGGCAACAGGAGCGAAACTCTGTCCCCCAAAAAAAAGAAGAAAAGAAAAGAAATCTGAAAAAAGGAAAAGAGAATTGAGGATAAAGCTTTGCAAATACAAAATCCAAAAATCAAATGATAGAAATAAGTTCAAATATATCACTTTTTCCTACCAAACATAGAGGGATTAACCTCATATATTAAAATACAAAATTATCAATAACTAAGCAGCACTTTCAAATTAAAGAAATTAAAAATTAAATATTTTATAAAAATTTTAAGTAAATATTCACAGAAAGCAAGCTGCTATCACAAAATTAATTTTAGTTTAAATAAAATTTAAGGAAGAAATAATAAACAACAAGATTGACACTGCACATGGAGGGACCATAGAACCGGGTAGGTGAACCAACGTCAAGTCCAATGCTGGCCTCACCTCCAGGACATACAAAGAAACTAACAGGATAGAGCAGGTCTAGAGAGGGACACTGGAACTCATACTTCTGAATTTAAATGGGAAATAGACAAAGATGTTATGTGTTTATAAAAGGTTTTAAATCACAACAAATGCTGAATGTACATCACTTTCTAGTATATGTAATACTTACCAAATGGGACCCATATTAGGTTGCAAAAGAAATTACAAAAACCCGGAGATAGGGACCAAAGGACTAAAAGAAGTCAGAACAAAAAACACGCCCCATATATTTTAGGGAAAAACAGCACAGTGATTTAATGGTAAATCACTATAAACATGAAGGCATTCACCTAGAATAGAGATGAGATGCCAGAGTTCAAGACGACAACATGTGTCAGCCTGACTTTCTGAATGACTGCACAGGCAAGGCTGCCATCCATGGAAGCGCAGAAAAGGACACCCCTTAGGTCCTGGATGGAGGAGGATGACCCCCAATACTGGATAGAGAAAGATGCCCTCCAATTCTGGGATGGAGAAGGATGCCCCCCAGTCCTGGATGGAAAAGGATGCCCCCTAGTCCTTGATGGAGAAGGATGCCCCCTAGTTACTAGATGGAGAATGATGTCCCCTGAGTCCTGGATGGAGAAGGATGGTCCCCCAAGTCCTCGATAGAGAAAGATGGTCGTCCAAGTCCTGGATGGAGAAGGATGCCCCCCTCAGTCCTGGATGGAGAAGGATGCCCCCTAGTTACTGGATGGAAAAAGATGTCCCCCAAGTCCTGGATGGAGAAGGATGCTCCCCAATTCCTGAATGGAGAAGGATGCCCCCTAGTTCTACATGGAGAAGGACAAACCCAGTCCTGAATGGAGAAGGATAACCCCCCAGTCCTGGATAGAGAAGGATGCCCCCCAAGTCCTATATGGAGAAGGACAAACCCCAGTCCTGGATGGAGAAGGATGCCCCCCAAGTCCTATATGGAGAAGGACAAACCCCAGTCCTGGATAGAGAAGGATGCCCCCCAAGTCCTAAATGGAGAAGGATGCCTCCAAAGTCCAGATGAAGAAGAATTTCCCCCACTCCTGAATGGAATAGGATCCCCTTCAAGTCCTGGGTGGATAAGACACCTCCCAAGTCCTGGGTGGAGAAGGACACCCCTCAGGTCCTGGATGGAGAAAAGATGCCCCCTAGGTCCTGGATGGAGAAGGATGTTCCCCAAGTTCTGCTTGGAGAAGGTGGCTCTGGGGACCTCATGGGGAAGGATGCCCCTTTTCCAGCCTCCCCATCCATACTTATCCTGACTTGTTAGTGTAGAACAAAGAGATTTGGAGGAAGAAACACAGGACTAAACTTTAGTCAGAATGTTTTCCTTTTAATCGACATTTTATAAATTCTAATTTTTATTTGATAAAAATAAGTGAAATGTATGACATAAACACAGTGTAACAACCGATTAGACCTATTTTTCCGATCTGAGTCCTGGCTACCGGCTCTATTAGTCATTCTACTTTTCTGTATTTGCAAAGCTTCTCAAAATTAAAGATAAAAGAGTTTATTGCTAGTAACATGTATAAATAGACATTGAATAAAATGTGGCTCTTTAAAAATTAGTTTATTCTATGGGCTTCTTTTGAAAGGTTATGGTGTACTAAAATTACTGGTGGATCTTTATTACAAGCTCACTGGTAAAAATAGTCAATATGGGAATATTCTAATTTGTTAGAAATTAGTGTTGAGTGAGTATTAATCAAAACTTTAAAACCAAAATACATGGACATAAGAATAAATTATTCGACTTAATTATCCACTGACTTTAAATTCTAATTGCTAAATTTACTTTTTGCCCATTTCACCTCCTTCAAATCTCCAAGTAACTCTTCATTTTTCTCTCCTGTCAATATTTTATTCTCCCTTATTTTTTTTTCTATTTCCTGATTTTTTGAACAACTCCAAGGGAGTTGTGTTTTGCTTGTGTTGAATGACGTCATTACACCAACCCGTTAGGCAACTAGAACGTCACCAAGGTGAGCACTAGGAGACTTCAGACCACGGAGCCTCTCCTGATTTTTGACTCAGGTTACCTGGCAACTGTGTTTAAATTATGAGTTGTTTAATTTTTTTAGATCCCCTATAGATAAAGAAGGATTTTAATAACCATCAATTTAAAATGCACTGGGACACTTCATGACTGACATTTCTTGCAGTTTCTGTGCTGTGGCCTCATGAGTAACTGTCTGTAAGGAACATCATGTTCCTCATTCTGCCCTTGCTCCTTGGGCTCCAAAGGGAAAGACCAGAAATTCTGTGGATATAAAACATGGAAACATTCATTCTTTAAAGGAAAAGGCGGTAAAGCAGAGATGAGGAAAGGATGGTATTGAATACATGCAAATGGATAAAATATGAATGATCATGTTCTCATGTTCAACTCAATTTTTAAAAGTGGATGTATGAGCAGTGCGAGCATTTAGTCAGGGCATGGTGGGCCTGTGGGCTAGAACAAGAGGCCACACTCAAGGAGAGATGGCACTCACGACGGGGGGCCTCTGCTCCTTTATGACTCCCCTTCCTCAGTGACCCAGAGCACCCTCCTATCACAGCCTGTAGGGGAGAGGAAGGTGTTAGGGCACTTTGAATCACAGCGGAGTGTGTGTCTACATGCTCTCCTCACATGCCACAAATCTGCATCGCTTTACAATATTTCAATAGATTATGAGTAAGGAAGATCGCTGCAGAACCAGTAAAAGCTGCCCTCCCAGACAATGCGCTAAATTGGGTTTTACAAAGTATTGTGAGAGATCTCGGGAGAGGGGGAGCAACCTGCTCATAGATTTTGCCAAAATCAACATTTAAACACCTCCGTTAGGCAGAAGAGCAGTGCTACTGGAATTAGTTAGCAGTTCTTTCCTGCTGGACATCTCTCAGCCTCCAGACCCTACAGAGAAGAGGCCATGACCTAAAAGCAGTTTAAAAGCTTGAAAAAATAGAAGCTAAGGATTAAGCAAATATCGAAATTTAGAAAAGGAGAGAAGACTTTATTTCTTGTAGAGGGTTACAGCCTGCAAGGTGGCCACCCCACAGGCTGGGAAGAACAGCCTCCTGCCGAGACCAGAGATGGGCACTTCCAGGAGGAGGGGTTGGGGCAGGAGCTTTGGGGTGAAAAGGTTGGCTAAAGATACACAGTCATCAGGAGACAGGCATAACAACATAAAACCAGTTGTAGGTAACACAGAATGATTCTGATATTGATGTTCAATTCCACACACTAACAGACGTGAGAACCTCATTCACCGCACGTGGAGAAGGCACTGTATCTGCTCCGTGGTGGTCCCGATGACTTGTGTTTATCGTTGCCTGGGTCTGCATTTTCTCTTCTCTAGATTTTGCTTATCCTGCAAAGTTTGTGCTGGGACATCATTTCTAGGATTGAGTTTAAGCTGAGCCTCAGAGTTTTTATTGCAGCTACGGTGGATATGGCTTGGTTCCCTGCAGTACTCTCTGGAAAGTACCTTCCTCCATTTGAAATCCCTGACGTGGTACCTCCTACAGCCTGCACAGCTCTGGCCTCTGCCATGGGTCTCATGGCCTCTTCTGCTAAAACTAGAGAGGAGGTTCATCCCCTGCCTCTTTATAGAGAAGAGCCACTTGCTGACTGAGCTGAAAAGGGACTCCCCACTGAGCAGGCTCACCAGTGTCCCGACAGCCGGGCAGATCATGGGGACGGGGAATTCTGAGCAGACCCTCTTCAGAAGTTGAGTCTCAAGGGGCCTTGGGGAACTTGGTCAGCAGATGGCAAGACTTCATCTGTCAGTGGGCGGGTCAGCTCAGCGGGACTCCTGTCTTTGGAACTGAGACTCAAGTCTCTACTCTGTACCAAGACAGAGATGGAGGCCAGGAAACAAGACACACAACCATTTTCCATCATCGAGGGGCAAGGCAGGGCTTGGCATGAGGCAGAACCGGGCTCCATCAATGCCACATGTCAGGAGGAACCCCTTTTCTGTTTCAATCCCTCCTGCCCATTTGTGGGAGGCATTAGAGAGGCCTGACATAGTTTTTTTTCTCCACGGCCTGAGGACGTGATAGGATTTCATTCCCGCCCCACCTTGTGGTTGGATGGAATCATGTGCCCAATTCTGGTCAAGATCAAGAAACTGAGGTATCATTTTTGTTTGTGTGGGACCAGGAAAATGGCTCTAATTTGGCTTTGTGTTTGTGCATGTGTGTGAGAACGGACAGGTAAATGTGTGTAATGGAGAGTGGGTAGGTGAGTGTGTACGTGTGTGAGAGTGTGTATGTGAGTTGTGTGAATGTTTGTGAAGAAATGTGTGATAGTGGTGTTTGAACTTGGCAGTATGAGTGTGTATGTGGAATATAACTGTGTGCGGATGTGTAAATATGAGTGCATATGTGTGTTAATGTGTGTAAGTGTGTGAATAAGCCATGTGAGTGTGGTGTGTGAGCTTGGGTCCATGAGTGTGTGTGCGTGTCTGTGTGAGCATGACAGAGTGTGTGAGTTTGGGGTGTGTGCAGGCCACAGCCAGTCCCTCCTGGGGTACTAGATCTTTCCAACCCAAGCACCTCAAGTCGTTCTCCTTCCTCACTCCATCCTGAGCTTCCCAGCCAACTGCCTCTCATCCAAACTCCCACAGGGAAACAGTCCCTGGGACTAGGGGCTCTGAGCATGGCACAGTGCCAAGTCTCCTCCCTGGCCACCTCCTGAGAACCTGGGTGTAGCACAAAACAGTCAAATATGTTCCTCTTCTGTCATCACTAACTAGAGCTCCACAGCTTCCCAGATTGCCCTGTTAGCTCTTCACCATAATTAGCTATTTTCTGATATCATACTAACATTCCTTAATTATTCCCTCAGAAACAAAGCAAATCCGTGGGATGCAGAGGGTACGCTGATGACTTCTGCTGGGGAGAGAAGCCCAAACACACGTCCTGGGCAGAGCCCAGAGACCTGGAGTGTGGCTGCCAGTGGGCACCCGGCTGAGGGACAAGCAGGTGGGCCTCAGTGGTGGCTGCCAGGTCCCTGGACGCCGGGGGCCACCGGCTTTGCCTCTCCTCTGCCTCGGAAGCACCGGAGGCTTTGGGGATCTGGTGGTCCTCCGGCCCTGAACGTGGACCTGGTGTGACAAAGGGAAGTTTGCCATCTCCATCCTCCTCAAGCTGCCTGTGCACCCCAGTAGCACTCACCCTCTCTGTGCTCCCGTCTGCACCGCATGTCCTGGGGTCCTTCTTTGTGCTGCACCCAGTGACAGGAACCAGTGTCCCGACTGTGACTTACTTCCCCCCTCAGGGACACACAAGGACTTTCACATCGAGGCTACTTTTCACCCCTTCTGCCTCCTGCAGGGACGCTGCATGCAGAGGCAGGAGGACAGAGGGGCTGGTCTCAGGTGTGGCTTCTCTCATACCTGGCGCAGGTGGCCACTCCCCTTCCCCCCCCCACTCCCCCACCCCACCTCAGCTCCCGGGTGTGAATGAGAAAGGGGAACCAAGAGATCATCATTACATGGGACATGCCACAAACCCCAAAAAGACCCATTTGGTGAAAAGAAGTAAAACAACCACAAGGCTATTTTGGCCTGAGGTGGTCTCATGGCTGAAGCAGCCGCTGGTCTCTTGCCTGGGCTACTCAAATAGTAACCCGGTGTGTCCTCCCATGTGCATTTTCCTTCGGGTTGAGCAAAAACACTTTGTCATCCTCCCACTCCTCAATAGAGCAGAAGGGAATGAAAGGCAACTACAGGGCCTTACAGAGCTGCTCCGGGGGCCGCGGGAAACTTATCAGCATCCTAGAAAAGACAAAACCAGTGGGTTGCATGTGGCCTCTGACACCTGCCACCCTGACTGCAGGGAGTGGCCTCCCCCACCTTTCACCTTCCCATCATTAGTAAGCAAAGTGACCCCCTACGCCTGGACAAAGCGCTCAAAAGCCCAGGCCCGCGGGTTAGCTCCAGCCGCTCGGCTTGACAGGGGCCAGGGAGGCGGGCCAGCCCCACAGCCAAGTCACAGCTCCAGGGCCTGGTCGCACCTGAGCAGCGCGGCCTCGGGCTGCTGCTGGCGCTGCAGGATCCGCGCCTGACCCTCCAGCCTGCGCAGCAGGCACTCGGCCGGGAAGCACCTCTCCAGCAGGCGGCTCAGCACCACGTTCACGCGCCCGCGCCTGTGGCCGCGCGGGCCCCAGCTCCACTTAGCGCTCACAGACCGTGAGCCCGCAGGGCAGCGTCACAGGCTTGTGCAGCAGCCGTGGGCAGCCAAGCAGGTCGCGGGGCGCGCCGGGCGCCAGGGCCGGCCCTCCCTAGCCCTGAGCTCGCCGCCAGGCTTCCCCGCCAACAGTGGCCGTTCGCGCAGGCCGGGACACACCAGGCCGCCCGCCAGCTCCCCCAGCTCCTCCGGACTCAGCGCCTCCAACCTCCCGGCTACATGGAACGCGCCCAGGGCCACCGGGAGGCGGCCGGCGCGGGCCAGCGCGTCCCCCAGCCTCAGGCACCGGCCGCGGTCGGGCTGCGCCAGCAGGGCCAGCATGGAGCGGAAGAGCCCGGCGCTTTCTGGTACTTGCTCGCGCGGAAGGCCTCGTCGCCCTCCTCCAGGCGGTGGGCGATTGGCTTCCCGCAGCAGCAGCCCGACACTGGGGCGGCGGCGGCGGGACCGGCTCAGTGCTGATTCTCGCGGGGCTGCGACCGTGCGGGCCTGGAGCGAAGGCGCGGAGCAGGGGCGATGAGCTGCTGCTGGGAACTGGCCGGCGGGAGCGCGGCCACAGCCTTCGCCTGCAGAACCAAAAAAACGGTTTTAAAAATCTTTTTAACATCCGCAGAACGTGAAGAATTACATTGGAAATTGGTTAGAGATTGTATTGGACCTATAGATTGATTTGAGTATGATGGTCATTTTAACAGTATTAACACTTCTAATTCAAAAAATGGGATAACCTTGTCTTTACTTGTATCTTTTCAATTGATTTTTATCAATGTTTTATAGTTTTCATTTTAGACGTCTTTATTTTGCCAGGCATTTTTTTTATAGCTATTTTCAATGGGGATTCCTTTTTCAGATAGTATGCTGTTGGGTATAGAAATGCATCTGATTTTTCTATGCTGATTTTGTATTCTAAAACTTTACTGTATTCATTTACTGTTTCTGTTTTTCAGTATAGGGTCTTTTATACATATGACATGATCTATGTCATCTGCAAACAGGGACAATTTGACTTTCTTTTTGTTTTTCAATTTGGATGTCTTTTCTTTCTCTTTTCTAATTGCTCTAGCTAGGACTTCCAGTGCTATGTTGAAGAGAAGTTATTAAAGTGAACATCCTTGTCTTGTTCTTGATCTTAGAGACACAGTTTTCAATTTTTCCTTATTCAGTATCATGTTGGCTGTGGGTTATCACATATGGTCTTTATTTTATTGAGTTATACTCTTTTTATAACTGATTTGTTAAGAGATCTTATGTTTACAAAAAACATTGAATTTTGTCAAATGCTTTTTCTGTATCTATTTAAATGATTATATGATTTTTATCTTACCTTATCGAATGTGGTGTATCACATTTATTGATTTATATATCATAAGCCCTCCTTGCCTCCCTGGAACAAATACAGCCTGATTATGGTGAATCATCTTTTTAATGTGCTTTCAAATTATGATTGCTAGCATTGCTGGTTTTGAATTTTTGCATTTATGTTCATCACTGATATTGGCCTGTAGTTTAGTTTTTCACTGTTCTTGTCGCATTTTGGAATAAGGTAATTCTGTCTTCATAGAATGAGTTTGGAAGAGTTTCCTCCTTTTCACTTTTTTTGGAACAGTTTGTAAATAATTAGTATATGTTCCTCTTTAAATGTTTTGAAGAATTCAGCAGTATAAGCATTGGATCCTCGATTTTTATTTTCTTCTCCTTCCCTCCCTTCCTTCCTTCCTCCCTCCCTCCCTCCCTCTGTCTCTCTTTTCTTCCTCTTTCTTTCTTTCTTTCTTTCTTTCTTTCTTTTTCTTCTTCTTCTTAAATATTTTTGGTTTAGAGACATGGTCTTTCTTTGTCACTCAGGCTGGAGTACAGTGGTGCAATCATAGCTCACTGCAGCCTCAAATTCCTGGTCTTAAGTGATCCTCCTGCCTCAGCCTCCCAAGTTGTTAGGACTGCAAGTGCACACCACTAAACCTGGATAATTTTTATTTTTATTTTTGTAAAGACTGGGTCTCACTATGTTCCCCAGGCTAATCTGGAAATTCTGGCTTCAAGTAATCCTCCTGCCTTGGCCTCCAAAGTGTGAGATGACATGTGTGAGACACTGTGCCAGCCCTCCAGATTTTCTTGTATTGAGAGACAATGCTTCAATCTCTTTATTTGTTATTGGTCTGTTCGCATTTTGTATTTCTTAATTCTTCAATTTTGATAGGTTATATGTGTTCAGAAACGTATTTATTTCTTCTAGGTTTTCTAATTTATTGGCATATAATTTTAGTACTTTCTCATGATTCTTTGTATTTCTGTAGTAACCATTTTAATGTCTTTTTTCATCTCTCATTTTATTTATGTGAATCTTCTCTCTTTTTTCTTAATCTGACTAAAGATATATCAATTGCGTTTATCTTTTCAAAAAATAACTTTTTATTTCATTGATCTTTCATATTTTTGTCTCCATTTTGTTTATTTGTGCTCTGGTCTTCATTATCTATATTCTTTTACCAATTTGGGGCTAAGTTTGTTCACGTTTCTATAATTCCTTGAAATGCATTCTTAAATTATTAATGAGAGTTTTCTTTCTTTCATATAGAAATTTATTTCTACAAACTTCCCTCTGAGGACTTTTTCTGCTGTATTTCGTAAGTTTTTATATGTTCTGATTTCATTTTCATTTGTCTTAAGAATTTTTAAAATGAAACAAAATTTATTTTTTAACCCATTGTTTGTTTAGGGGCACGTTGTTTAATTTTGTATGTATTTGCACAATTTCTGAAGTTCTTGTTGTTTATTTCTAGTTTTATTCTATATTGTCAGAAAAGATGTGATATAATTTTGATTTTTTTTTGAATTTGCTAAGGCTCATTTTGTGCCTAGTATATGATCTATCATGGAAAATGTTCCATGCGCAGTAGAGAAGACTGTGAATTATGCAATTGTTGGATAACATGTTCTGTAAATGACTGCTAAGTTATTTGGTCTAGAGTTCACTTTAAATATGATGTTTCTTTGTTGATTTTATGTCTTGATAATCTGTTTATTGCTGAAAGTAGAATGTTACTATTATTTTATTGCTTGCTGTTTCTCCTGTTAGATCTATTAACATTTGTTTTATATATTTAGGTCCTTCAATATAGAGGGCATATATATTTACAATTATATTATCTTGTGATATTGATCCCTTTATCATTATATAATGGCTGTATTTGTCTGTTTTTATAGGATTTTGTTTGAAGTATATGTTATCTGATATAAATATATCTATACTGGCTTTCTTTCGGTTTCCATATTTATAAAATATATTTTTCCATCTGATCACTTTCAATTTATGTGTGTATTTACAGATGAAGTGAATTTCCTGTAGAAAGTTTATAGTTAGGTCTTGTTTTTAATCAGTGTAGCCATTATATGTCTTAAATGGGATAATCCATTTACATACAAGATAATTATTGATAGGCAAGGACTTGGTTCTGCCATATTATTACTTGTTTTCATGTTTTTTTTAATTTGTACTTTGATTGATTGATTTCTCTATCTTCCTTTGTGATTAAGTGCTTTACTCTATCAGTGTGTTTCGGTTTTTTTTTTTTTTTAATTTTTAGAGTATCTTTTAAAAGTTTTTGCTTTGTGGTTACCACAAGGCATGCAAAGAACATTTTGTGGTTACAATAAGTTATTTTAAAGAGATAGCAACTTAATTTTGATTCAAAAAGAGGGGAAAAGAAACCACTCTACTCTTTAACTCCATCACTCCCTCACATTTTGCATTTTTGATGTCTTAATTTACATCTTTGTATATTGCTATTCCTTAACAAATTATTGTAATTATTATTATTTTATTTGTATTGTTTTTTAACCTTCCTACTAAGGATATATAAGTGCTTTACATCCAATTATTACCATATTAGAGCATTCCAAATTTGTCTGAATCCTCACTTCTACCTGTGGGTTTATACCTTCAGATTTTTTGTGTTACATATTGCTGCCATTTTCTTTCAGTTTGGAGAACAATATTTAGCGTTTCTTGTAAGGCTGGTTTGATTACAATGAATTCCTTTGCTTTTTGTTTGTCTGAGAATGTTTCAATCTCTCCTTTATTTCTAAATGATAGCTATGCTGGATACTTTATTCATGGTTGACAGTTTTTTTAATTCAGCACTTGAATCTATTATCCTACTCTCTCCTGGCCTGTAGTGCTTCTGCTGAGAAGTCTGCTGCCAGGCATATTGGAATTCTCTTATGTGTTGTTTCCCTTTTCTTAGTCCTTTCAGGGTCTTCTCTTTGTGTTTGACATTTGAGAGTTTAATTATAAAATGTCTTTGGTTGTCTTATTCAGATTAAATATGATTGGGCACTTTGACCATCCTAAACATTTTAATCTTTCTCCAGGTTTAAAAAGTTTTCTGTTATTTCTTTGAATAAACTATCTCCTTTTCATTCTTAGTTCCCCTTTAACACCAATGATATGTAGATTTGCTCTTTTGTTGGTGTCCCACAAATCTCATAAACTTTCTTTGTTTCTTTTCATTCTTTTTTTCATTCTACTCTGACCATGTATTTTCAAAGAGCCTGTCTTTGAGCTCACTGTTTCTTTCTTCTGCTTGATCAGTTCTTCTGTTGATGCCTTCCGTTGGATTTTCAATGTGTTAATTGAACTTTCCTGCTTCAGGATTTACATGTGATTTTTCCCATTATTTTGATTTCTTTGTTGAATTTCTCTGGTAAATTTCTGAATTATGTCTCTGCTTTCTCAGTGTTCAGGCTCTTCTTAAAACAGCCATTTTGAATTCTTTGCCTGCCGGATCATTCATCTGTATGTCTTTAAGTTCAGTTGCTGACACCTTGTTTTGTCCATTTGGAGAGGCAACTTTTCCTAAGCTATCATTATTATATGTAGATATACATCTCTGTCTAAACATTGATGAATTAGATATTTATTTGTGTCTTCTCAGTCTGGGTTTGTTTGTGACTACTTTTAAGTGGGCTTATTAGGAAATGTTGAGCGGACTTACCATCGTATTCCATTTTAGCATTAGAGAGAGTCCAAATCCCACGTTAGACATAAGTCTTCCAATGGCTCCACCACTGCTGCAACATTTGCTGGATGGGCCCATGGGTGATCCACAGGGAGCCCCTGGCTATGGGGGAGAACAAGTCAGGCCGTCAAGCGTGTAGTCTGTGTATTATGTTTCACATGGTGGCTGTTGCTGGCCCCACCTCCTCTTATGTCCTTAACATGCCTCAGGTGGTTCATCCCTTTTGGCACTCATGGTGCCACTTGTGGGCTGATACAGGAGTGAGTCTACTGTGAAGGCACTCAGTATAGTGGAAAAAACAAATATCAACCTCCTGCTGACTTTTTTCAGTGTAAAAACTATAAGCCCTATGGGAGTTTCTGCAGATGGTACCATAATGGCCTGAGGGAGGAGTATCACAGTCACAGAGTATTGGTTCTCTCACTCTGTAAGCCATGGTTTTACCCATCTTCACAGGCCAAAGGTGCTTCATAACCTTGTTCATGTATTGAGGTTCTGTTGGCTCTTGTAATGGTAATTTCACATGTGGACAGTTGTTCATATTGATGTTTCTATAGGGGTATGATAGCTGGAGAGGTCTGCACCACTGTCTTGCTCTGCCTCGATCATTATTTTTTTCTAACAAGAATTTGTCTCCTCCTAGTTTTTCTTTTTCTCTTAACCGACCTAGGTATAGCCTTTTAATCCTTCTCCCTCCTCTGCTTCTAATGTCATTGCTTCTTTGTATGCCTATCATATCTACATGCTACATGACCTTCAGCTGGTTATGTATAATATATAAGACTTAATATCCTATAAAATAGAGGTAATAATAGCATCTACTTGATAGGAAAGTTAAGAATATTAAATGACACCATTGATGTTAAATGGAGGTAACTTTCTGAAATGTATTAATGAGACATGATTCTTTGTTCTAGTCCACTTCATAGACTAGACTACTTTGTTTGAGTTTTCTCTTTTCAGTCAGAGAAAGCAATAAAATTGTAATAGTAAAAATTAAATAAAATTTAACTTAAAATTGTGTTCTGGTCTTCTCATTGTTCAGCCGTGGAAAGCAATAAAATTGTGATAGCAGAAATTAAAAGTGAGCAGAGACTTATTTAAAAATTGGTATTCTCCTTTTCAATGCCAAAATAAGAACTAGAAACTTTTAATAAGGCAACAGTCTGAAGAAACAATTTATTGAAGAGAATATGGGTTTCTAAATCCTAACAAGTTTTTTTACGTATGTGAGTCAAGTTTGGCTGCCTTGAATCCTATTATGACTTTAATGGAAGTTCTAGTTAGGGTGGAAAGTGTCAAAGAAAACAGTTGCACCAGACAAAGTTAAACACATAAAAAAGCTGTTATTGAAGACTATTGCAAAAGGGCAAAGAGGCCAGAACTTAGTCTGAACTCAGCTCCACTGAAACAAACAGCAGTAGAGATTTTAAGAGCCAGGATGAGGGGGAGATCATAGACCACTTGTCTTTGATAGTTGTCTTTTTCCAAAGGAATATTAAACTATCTTTTATCTTTATGACAGAAGGTGATTTTACAAATTAGAGGAATATGCCCACCAAAATTTGGCTCTTACTCTCTCATGGAGTCTGGGAGATAATGGTGTTATCTTTTTTGAGAATTACATTTCAAAGGGATGGCTCTGAGGTCCTTGAAATGGACATTTCTGAAGTGTAAAACTGGCACGTGGGCTCTTAGAAAGATTTATCAAAGAGGCAGAGAAAGAATTTACAATGATAACATTTCTAAAATATGCTAAAGAAAAAAAGAGGTGAGGAGCCAAGAATCAGAAATAATCCTGTCTAAAATTTTATCAAACTGAGGGGATGGCTTTAGTCAAAGGTTTAGTGTAAGGGGAATTTCTATGAAGAAGAGGAAGAGAAGAGCTTTTAACTACACAGGAAGAAGAAAGTTCCCAGGAGATGTGACTATGGCTCTGCCTGTGTCTCTGATCAGGTATTCAGCCCCAACATCCTCCTGGGACTCGCTCAAACAGATGGATAGGAAAAAATAGACAGTTAAAGAAAGATGAGAAAATATGCAGGCTGGTGTCTTACTTCTCTAGTGCACATAGGGTGTCCCAGGAATGACAGAGTGGCAGGACAGGGGGAAGTGCCTGAGAGATCAGCTCCCTTACTCTCAGCCTGTGAGTGCTGTCTGAAAAGCCAGTCTCTCCAAGCTTGGTGGAAGGGGGACTCACACCTGGTTTGACAGGACCAGTGGAGGCCCCTGGTGGGACATGCTGGCCTCAGAATGTGAGGTCTTGGAGGCTAGAGGAAAATGGCAGTGGGTTACCAGAAACTTCATCACTGAGTGCCAATACATGCAAAATCAAAGAGAAGATGAGCCATGTCAGCAGATATCAGTGAAGAATGCCCAGAGAAGACTCCACTGACCATACACAGCACAGACCAGCCTGTTCCAGAGGACAGTGCAAATGGCACGCCACAGCAACAGAGGCGACTTCGACCCCGCCCACGCCATCAGCAGCTCGGACCCTAGGGTCAGATACCACCACAGAGGCTAATTCCAGTGGTCGCCCCGCATATCAGGAAGACGGGAACCTGCACTCAGCACCATCCCCGTGGCTGCACAGGGCCCAGGACTCGTAACCCGGCGCTCTGGTTGCGGGCCAAGAAAGAGCGTAACCTAGGGTGGCATGTCGGTGAACTCGGCGACCCTCTGACAACCTGGGAGCAGCCCCAACAGCCTCAGTTGTGGGCTCAGCTGCAACTGCCACCTGCCGATGGTGCACGGGAGCAGCAGCGGCAACCCTCGACCCTGTCCCCGCCACCAGCAGCACGGACAGCAGGGCCAGATAGCACCGCGGCGCCTAAGACCTTAGGCCACGCAGCTGCAGGAGGACGTGAAACGGGCGCTGACCGCCCCCCAGAAGCTATGCAATCCCCAGCGCAGGCGAGTCCTCACTCTGGGCGCGGGCCAAAGATCAGACACTACGATGAAAGGACGGTGAACTTGGTGACCCTGAGGCTCGCAATGGGTTTAGCAGCAGCTGCCAACTGCAACCAACCCTGACCCTGCCCGCGTCACCAGCAGCAGTAACCCAGGGCCAGATGCCGCCTCAGCGGCTAATTCAGGTAATCGTCCTCCAGCTGCAGCAGGGCGGAAATCCGCTGCTCAGCCCCACCTCGGCGGCTGCACAGAGCCCAGCGCCCGCACAACCCGCTCTTGGTAAGGGCAAAGGAAGAGCGGACCTAGGGTGGGAGGACCCTGCACTCCCTGACCCTCAGGCCGTCTGGGGCCAGCCCTGCCAGCCTCTGTCTAAAGCTACGCTGCAACTGCTACCTGCTCATGGCGCGCAGCGGTGGCAAACCCGGACTCCGCCCGCCGACACCAGCGGCCTCGAAACCCTAGAGACAGACTCCACCTAGTGGCCAAAATCAGGCAGTCGGCCCACAGCTGTAGGAGAGCGGGAACCTGCCCTTCAGCGGATTCCTGGAGGCTGCACAGTGCCCAGCGCCAGCCACCCGGATCTGGGCGCGGGCAAATGACCCTCAGGCCGTCTGAGACCGGACCAGCCCTGCAGCCTCAGCGGTGGGCTCAGGGGCGACTGCCACGTGCACATGGTGAACTATAGCAGCTGTGGCAGCCCCCGACCCTGTGCAAGCCACCGGCAGTGCGGACCCCATGACCAAAAGCCGCCGCGGCGCATAACTCAGGCGGTCGGCCCCCCAGCAGCCAGAGGGCGGAAACTTGCAGCTTAGCCCATCCCAGCGCCTGCACTGTGCTCAGCGCCTGCAATCCCACTCTCTGGGAGCGGGCAAGGAAGACTGGACCTTAGGGTGGGAGGGCGGTGCATTCGGGGACCCTCAAGGCTTCTGGAATAAGCCCTTCCAGCCTCCGCTGCGGGTTCAGCTGCAGCTGCCAGCTGCACACTCCTGGAAGCAGCAGCGGTGGCAGCTCTGGTCTCTGCCAGCTCCAGCAGCAGCGCGGACCGCCGAGCCAGAGGTCACTGCGGCGCCTGTTAGGAGGTTGGCCTCTCAGCTGCAGGAGGGCGGGAATCTGCACCCAACCAGATCCTCATGGCTGCACAGTGTCCAACGCCCACGACCCTGCAATTTGGGCGCCGGCCTAGGAATAACGGACCCTGGGGTGGAAGGGCGGTGCACTCAGCCACCCTTAGGCAACCTCAGACCAGCCCTGACAGCATCTGCCTGGGACTCAGCTGCAGCTGGCACCTGCGCATGGCGCACGGCAGTAGTAGTGGCAGCCCTGACCCTGCCCTCAGACACCAGCAGCAAAGACCCTAGGGCCGGATGCCTCCAAGGCATCTAAGTCAGGTGGTCGGTCCCATAGCGCTGGGGATTGCAGCGGTCGCCCGCTGCAGCGGGGCGGAAATCGGCTGCTCAGCCCCATAGCAGCTGTGGCAGCCCTCATCTCTGTCCATGCCACCAGTAGCACGTACCCCAGGGTCAGATACTGCGGTGGCGCCTAATTCAGACTGTAGCTGCAGCAGGGCAGGACTCCGCCGCTCAGCCCCATCCTGGAGGCTGCTCAGAGTCTAGCGCTCGTACACCGCGTCCTGGGAGCAGGCTAAGGAAGAGCAGACCCTAGGGTGGTAGGGCGATGCACCCAGAGACCCTCAGGGTGTCTGGGACCAGCCCTGCCGGTCTCTGCCACGCGCTCAGCTGCAGCTACCACCGCCAGGTGGCTCCCGGCAGCAGCGGTGGAAACCCCGCTGACCTTGCCCGCCGCCAACAGCAGTGAGGATACCACGGCTGGATCCCTTGCCAGGGCGGGAACCTGCCGCTCAGCATATTCTGGGCAGCTGCACAGGGCCCAGCGCCTGAAACCCCGGGCTCTGGGCTCGGGCCAAGGAAGAGTGGACCCTAGGCTGGGAGGGCGGTGCACTCGGCGATCCTCACGCTTTCTAGGACCAACCCTGCCGGCGTCTACTGAGAACTCAGCTACAGCTGCCACCTGTACAAGGGCGCCGCAGCAGCAGAGCAACCGGGCACTTTGCCTGCACCACTAAGAGCCAGGACACCGGGGACAACGCCGCCTCAGCGCCTAATTCAGGCACTCAGCCCAGCAGCTGCAGCAGGGCAGCAACCTTTGCCCTCGGCCGAAGCACCTTGGCTGCACAGTTCCCGGTGCCCGCGACCCGGAACTCTGGGCGCAGGCAAAAGAAGAGCGTACACTAGGCTGGGACAGTGGTCCACTCCATGACCCTGAGGCTGTCTGGGCAACTCCTTGTCAGGTGATGGGCCCAGCTGCAGCAGCCAGCTGCACATGGCGCGCGCAGCAGCCTTGGAGGCAACCCCAGACCAGGCTCCTACACCAGCCAGGCGGATCCCAGGGCCAGACGCCGCCCACCGGCTAATTCAGCTGGTCAGACCCCAGCTGCAGGAGGGCGGGAGCCGGCCGCTCAGCCATTTCCTGGCTGCTGCCCTGTACCCAGCGCTTGCACACCCCGCTGTGGGCTCCGGCAAGAAAGAGCTGACTCTAGGGTGAAAGGGCCCTGCACTCAGAGACCCCCAGGCTGTCTGGGACCAGCCCTGCCTGCCTCTGATGTAGGTTCAGCTGCAGTGGTAACCTGCACAAGGCGCGCAGCAGCAGCTGTGGCAAACTCCGACCCTGCCAGTGCCACCAGCAGTGCGGACCCTTGGGCCAGAAGCCTCCACAGCGCCTAAGTCAGGGTGTTGGTCCCCAGCTGCAGGAGGGCAGGAACTGGCACTCAGCCCCACCTCAGAGGCTGCATGATGCCCAGAGCCAGGGCCCAGCTCTTCTAGCGCAGGTTGTGGAGGGGCCAGGGGCCACCCAGACTGGAGGGCAGTGTCATGATCACAGCTCACTGAAGCCTCAACCTCCCAGTTTCAAGCTATCGTCTCACCTCAGCCTCCTGAGTAGCTGGTAGCTGGGACTGCAGGCGGGTGCCATCATGTCTGGCTATTATATTTTATATACATTTTGGAGAGACAGTGTCTCACCATGTTGCCCAGCAGGTCTTGAACGCCTGGAGTTCAAGCGATCCTCCCAACTTGACCTTCCTCAGTGGTGGTGGTGGGATTATATGTGTGAGCCACTGTGCCCTACCTGCCGCTTTTCTTATAAGGATACTTGTCATTGGATTTAGGGCCCATCTTAATCCAAGATGAGATGCCCTCATCTCGAGGTGCTGGATTTAATTACATCTGCAGATTGTTTTCCAAATAAAGGTACATTCACATGTTCCAGGTAGACATATCTTTTGATAGACCACCATGCAATCCACTCTAGGAGTATTAAAGTGCCAGTGTGGACCGAGGCACCAAAGAATCACATTATTATGTCATATAACTTGCCTTATTTGTAGTGACCCGTGGGCTTGGAAACAGAACCATTTGCAGCTGTCAGGGAAGTGCACAGTGCCTGACCTTTCCCGCAGCCTCCTCCCCACTGGGCTTCCATGAGAGGATCACCCCTTGGAGTGTCCAGAGATTCCTGTTAAATGCTAAAGACCACAGGAGAGTTTGGGCGGGGGAAGATGTTTGGGGAGCAACTTAGTTGTCCTGAGGTGCCCATCACCCTTCACCGTTTCAGCAATATGGATCTTCCAAGGATCTGGGAATGGGAACCAGGCATAAGACAGATACATGTGAGTGAGAAGAGGCCAGAGTCTTTCTCTGTGTAGGCACCATCCAGCCCAAGATGAGCATTGTTCCAGAAACACATGCACTCATGATGCTAAACCCAATCTATTGAGGACTTAATACAAACTGTGATTTTTTTAAGCATTTAATTCTTACCACAGTCCTTTGTCATCTTATTATCTCCATTTTACAGATAAAGAAACAGGCACAGAGGGTTTAAGTAACATGTACAAGGTCACACAATCACAACTAGTAAAGCCAGGATTAAAGTCCAGTCAGTCTGCATTCAAAGCCTGTGCTCCTGCCCCAAAATGACAAGTAATGACTTAAAGGCAAGAAAAACACACTCTCCTCTACCCACCATCCTCATACAGACTTCCAGCCCAGGATCTAAACCATTCATTCATTTGCTCTCATATTCATTCATTCATTCATTCAGTTCTTCATCACACATTTAGTGAAGCTCTGTCATGGAATGTCCAAACAGAAGGTACAAAAATGAGGCAGGTATATTTTCTCCCATCTAAAGGGGGATGACCACGTGAAGAGAACCGATGGGCTGTGTGTCCCATGGCCTTACAGGGCAGTGGTGGAGGGTGGCCCAGGTCATCCACTCTCTGGGGAGGCAGAACCAGAAGCACCAGTTGGACAACTGCTAAAGAGATGTTTGTGCAGCCTCATATGTTAAGTCCTATATTTTGAAAGCTTTTTAAATTTTTTCTTTAAGATTTTAGATGCTTACCACTGAGTACCAGAGGGATGTAGCCTGATGCCCTTATCAACAAAGTCAGGGATGGTGGCACACAAGGTTTGACTACTGCATACACGGTCACAGTGCTACCCCCAGATAGCCTGATTTCCCCTGCCTTCTCTGGTGGGGAGAAGGGCTGGCAGAGCCATTAGCATGGGCTTCAGCCAATCCTGGCCACTTTGATGCTCCTGGTGCTGACCCAGGGTCCTGGAGGATGGGCTGAGGCGGCGGGGTAGAGATGTTCAGGGCAGTGGCCCCTTTCCATCCACACTGGAACTATTTCAGTATTTTACCACCAATTCGGCTATTCCCTTATCGGCTGGCTGAACATCGGCCCTGCTCCAGGTCTCAGTTTCCCCTTTGTAAAGGGAAAGCCCTGGATTCAGGGGTGACTAGGTCATCATGGTCTTGAGATTCCAGGCCTGTAGGCAGGGGGAGAGAGGTTCACTAGGAGTGCAGAAGACCAAGGTTGGGGAGAGGCAGAGGAGAGAGTGGCCTCCCTTTGGCCCAGGTGGGAGATTCACAGAGACAACCTTCCTTCTTCTCCAAGGCAGGACTTGTTAACAGTGAGCTTCAGGCAGTCTGGCACTTGGGACTAACTAGGATGTCACCCTCCCTGCAGCCTCCACTCCATAGACAACATGAGAGGAGTGTGTAAGTATAACTAGGAACAGGCTAGTGTCCTGATATTCTCTGTGATAGAGGGGACAGCCCTCCTCAGAGACCCGGGGGAGCCCAGAACCATGGACAGCCTGAACACACTTTACTTTCTCAGCAGTGGCAACCAGAACCCTAGCCTACTAAAGCCGAAATTAAAAGGAGAAAAACCTAAATTCCTGCCTGTACCAGGCTGACTCACATCAAGGCCCTGCTAGGACTAAGCTAACTTTATATACAAGGCCAAGCAGAGCCCAGAAGGAATGGACTCCAGGAACAGGGATGAGAAGAACAAGTTCTTCTTATCAGCTTCCCCCTTTGAGATTCTTTCCTAGGCCAGTATGTCTTTGCTCTGCTCTCATAACTATTTTTGTAACTATTTCTGTAAGTTTGTAAGGATTTTGTAAGTTCCTGTTTTCCATCTGTGCAACACTGAGAAGGTCACAAGACATGTCTGAGCAAGCCTAAAATAGTAACCATCTGCTGAGGGCCTGCTGGACGGCCCAGCAGAGGTCACCAGGCATGTTTGAGTCATACACCTGTCACTGTTTGATTAACTGCCTTTGTTCTGCTTCTGTAAGCTTGCTAAGCCCACCCTGTGAGTTTCACGCAGCTGCATGCTTAAAAACCAGGCCCCATCTTTGTTCCAGGCTCAGCCTTTTGGATGCGAATCTACTAGGCCAGTGGCCACTTTAATAAAATCCTCCTGTCTCATCCATTGGTCTCTCCAGTCTCTTGAATCCCGCAACACTACAATGGCTCCAAGACAGCATGTGGGATCTAAGTAATAACTTTTTATTTTTTTTATTTTTTTTATTTTTGTACAAGACTGGGTCTGGCTTTTTCACCCAGGCTGGAGTGCAGTGGTGCAATCACAGCTCACTGCAGCCACCTCCTGGTCTCAAGCCACCCTCCCACCTTAGCCTCCTAAGTAACTTAGGACTACAGTTGTATACCACTATGGTTGGCTAATTTTTGTATTTTTTGCAGAGACAAGGTCTCACTGTATTGCTCAGGCTGGTTTCAAATTCTTGAGCTCAAGAGATTTACTAGTCTCAGCCTTCCAAAGTGCTAGGATTACAGGCACGAGACACCGTTCCTGGCCAGTAATTTTGTTTTATTATATTAAGGTGAGGTTTATACCACATTCTTCTGGTTACAGAAGTAATACGTGCTCATTGTATACACTGAAAAATGTAAGCAGTATAAAGAAGAAAATAAAAAAGGATATGAAAATCACTAGTGGTCCCATTGCCTACCGTAACATTATGTGCTGCTTCTTAATCTTTACTTCCTCTCCCTCCGTGTGTGTCTTTGTGTGTGTGTGTCTGTCTGTGTGGTTTTTTGTTTGTTTTTTTGGCACATAGTACAATAGCTGACATTTATATCTTCCCGACCAGTGTTGAGCATGGTGTTAAGCAATTGACAAAGTGTATTGTATTTAACTCCTACAGAAAACCTAAAAAGGGGAAGGGCAGTATAATTAATAGAATTTTCCAGATGAAAAGACTGGGGCCTGAGTTGAGGTTACATTTTATATATGGCATTATATTGTACTTCAGACATGTAACATAGTAAGTGTCCTGGAGAATCTTGGTCTGTTAGTCTGTATAATAACATAAGCATCTTTTGTGGGATTAATAGTTTTTCCAAAGCATGCCTGGGATGTTTGCATAATATTCTAGTGTTTAAATATGTTGCTTATTGCCAGGTGTGGTGGCTCATGCCTGTAATCCCAGCATTTTGGGAGTTCGAGACAGATGGATTGCCTGAGCTCAGGAGTTTGAGTCCAGCCTAGGCAACACGGTGAAACCCCATCTCTACTAAAATACAAAAAAATAGTGAGGCGTGGTTGGTGTGCCTGTATTCCCAGCTACTTGGGAGGCTGAAACAGGAGCATTGCTTGAACCTGGGAGAAGGATTTTGCAGTGAGCTGAGATCGTGGCACTGCACCCCAGTCTGAGCAACAGAGTGAGACCCCATCTAAAAAAAATGTTGTTTATCAAACCATTTTCATCTTTGAAACATTTCAGGTCTCTTCTTTGGCTTTTTCGCATTATTAATAATACTGTGATAAACATCCTTCAGCAGAAACCTTCATAGGCTAGCTTCCTAGAAGTAGAGGTATTAGGTCCAAGGTTTTGAATTGTTTTAAAGCTATTGATTTATCTGGATAAAATTGCTTCCAGAGATATTGTCCCATTTTGCTTTCCAATCAGTGGATCTCACCTTCAGTATTTTGTGCAATTAAAAAAAATAATGTTTCTCCTTTTAAAGATTATATTTAAAATAGCTTTTAAATATGAAAAATTTGTATCTACAAATAAGAGATAGTGACAAAAAATAAATAATAAAATAAACACAAGAGCAGAAAGTAGATTGAAACATTAAAATTCAAATCACAGGCCTCTGTTATGGAGAAGACAGCTGCAATAGCTTTTCTGTTCTTTTATCTACATTGGTAGGTTCTTCTTTTAATTAATTTTTACCCCAACTTAAGTGCTGGCTGGTTTGGCAATTTGTTGCTGGGATGGAAAGAAGAAATGTGCACCTTGTCTTTTGCAGGTTATGAGAGCCTTGTCTGTCCTTGTGGTTGTGTGGGTGTCTGTTAGATTATTGTGAATACTGAGCTTTGAAAATAACCTAACAGTCAATCAATTGCTGAGCTTCTATTACCAGTAGTGGGACATAATGTACATCATGTAGATAGGCAGGCTTGTCACTGACAAGGGGGCTGACCCCTGGAAAACCAGCACAGAGCCAGCTCTTCTGTGTGAATCCACTCTCTCCAGAATATACCATAAGTCATGGAAAGAAATAAGAGTCTCAGGAAATGAGACTCTTACCGCGATGAGAGGTGAACCTTGAAATCTATTTTAGCAATTAGGAAGAGAAGTCCCATTTCGCATCCCAAATCAAGTAGAGGCCTGCTAGTCCAAACATAGTTTCTGAATAACCTGAGTCACCTGGGCCCTGAGGAATCCTGGCCTCTTAGTCCACATTTGCAGAAATATCAGGAGGTCAATCAGGAAGCTGGTTAGGCAGCTCAACACAGGGTCAGAAAGCTCCTAGGTATGCAAATAAATGTGCACACTGGAAATTGAGTTCTGTAATTTTTCCATGACCTAGAAAATTACGATGATGAAAATGTTCTACATTCATGCTGCCTAGTTCAGTAGCCACTAGCCACATGTGGCTATTGAGTAATTGAGATGTGGCTAGTACAACTGACCAGCTAATGTTAAATTTTGTTTTATTTGAATTAATTTTAATTTTAATAGTCACCTGTGGCTATTGGCTACTGCACTGGATAGCACAGAGATGAGAAATAATAGAAACCTTTTTTGTTGTTGTTTCAATGGCTAACATTGTCAAAAGTTGAATTCCTGTTTTATGTAAAATTTTGGTTTATATTTTCTCAAAGAAGGGAAGTACAAAAAACAAAACAAAACAAAACAAAACAAAAGGATGATCAAGCAGAACTTTGGTAAGGAAGGGTGAAGCAGAGACACTTAACTCAGAGTGGGGAAAACAGCAATGACCTTGTTTGAAATGCAGCTCCTGTCTATGTGGCTCTCTGTGCTCTGTTGGGGTGTCAGTTCTTTACTTCTTAGTTAAAGCAGTTATTTCGGCGGTGCAATGCTTTTTTGTTCAATAAGCATGACTTTTTACACAGCTGGTTTATCTCCAGTATGGAAACTCTCTGCTTAATCATCTTGATTTCTCTGGGCTTGTTCCTACTCTGCAGATTTAAGCATGACACTTGTATCTCTCTCTCCAGGCTCTGATCTAGGATGACAGCTTCTATGATGTGCCCATCTACAGAAATATGCAAATTGCAACTTTAGGAAGATTAAAAGAGGGCCCTGCAAAAGGCATCTACAGGCCCCATGTGCTGTTCACCTTTCTTATTTATTGGTGAAGTGAGTCCTCATCCATTTATTGGGCAGTTGCAAGCAAAGGAATTAACTATGACAATTCACCTTGATGTACAACAATTTAGTCTGTTTGGAGTTTCCACTGTTGGAAAAAACCTAGTTATCCTAATTAAGAACAGTTACAGATAGTATAGTGATAGCTTTTTTTTTTTTTTTTTTTTGAGACAGGGTCTTGCTCTGTCACTCAGATTGGAGTGGAGTAGCATGATCATGGCTCACTGCAGCCTCAACCTCCCTGGGCTCAGTGATTCTCCCACCTCAGTCTCCTGAGTAACTGGGAATACAAGCACATGCCACCATGCCTGAATATTTTTTCTATTTTGTTTTGTTTTATTTGTTTTGTTTCGTTTTGTAGAGATGGGGTTTTGCCATGTCACCTAGGCTGGTATTGAACTTCTGGACTCAGGTGATCCTCTCTCCTCAGCCTCCCAAAGTACTGGGATTACAGGTGTGAACCAGCATGCCATGCCTATAGTGATACCTTTAAGTAACCCTCTCTTTTCTTCTTTTGGGCAATTTTTCAAAGCAACAGGCACTTTATTAAATAAGAAAGTTGATGTGCTTTCCTAATGCCTGCTAATAAAGTAAAGAACCAAGGAACCTCTGTGATTTCAATGAAATCCCTCCAGATGTTATAGGCTACTTGTTACAGACAGGTATGATAGGAAGTGTGGTCAAGCTGTGATAGGCAAATAGATCTTGCTGAAGAGGAAGAATGATTGGCTAAGATAATGTCCCAGGACAGCTGGCATACCTTTAGACACAGCTAAATTGAATGCTTTCTGAGGATGAGTGTATTAGTCTGTCTCACATGCTATAAAGACATACCTGAGAATGGGTAATTGAAAAAGAAAAGAGATTGAATTGGCTCACAGTTCTGTGGGCTGTACAGACTTATGCTTATAGGGAAGCCTCAGGAAACTTACAATCATGGCAGAAGGTGAAAAGGAAGCAAGCACATATTCACATGGCTGAAACGAGTCAGGGGAGGTGCTTTTTAACTTTTTAAACAAGCAGATCTTAGGATAACTTTATCATCAGACAGCACTAGGGGGATGAGGCTAAACCATTAGAAACCACCTCCATGATGCAAACACCTTCTACTAAGCCTCTCCTCCAACACTGGCAATTACAATTCCACATCAGATTGGGGATGCGGGGGTGCACAAATCCAAACCATATCAAGAAGCATGTTAAAAATTGAGGGAAGTTCTAATCAAATGGCAAGTCAGGACATGGCATTCCATCAACATAACACTCCTCTCAATACATTCCAAAATGGGAGAAAGGAAAAAGTGCAAGGATGAAGAAGGGACACAGCAAAGTGACAAGATGACTAACAAGATGACCCCTGTGGAAAGCATTTACTGATTCAACAACCAAATAATGAAGAAAATAAGAGCAAATTTGCTGAGTTTCTATGCTCTTTATGTTTATTAGGGAAGGGCAAAAGCCAGTCCCTCGACATTGTTACTGTTAATTAACATCATCACTGCCTGCTCTTAAGTGTCTAGATACTTTCAAGAATCTAGTATTATCCTCACTTAAATGTTTTTTGGATGTGCCCTGTCATGCATGTGATATTGCAAAAAGATTCTACATTAACCACAGCAAGATGGCTATGTAATAATTGGGATCACTTTAGGGGAGCATATTTCTACCACATTTTGAGATGGAAAATGAAGTAAAGATATCCATTTGTCAATTTCTTCTACATTATGCCAAACATTCAAAGAGATTATTTTATTTATTTCAAAGATGTACACATGTTGAAATTAAAATTTAAATTAAGAAAATTTATAAACTGAGTCAAAAGAAAAGTAAGCGAGGCAGTTCTGCACGCCCTGAAGTGTCAGGCATATATGACTAAAGTATTCGGCATTTGGCCAGGTGTGGTAGCTCATGCTGTCATTCCAGGATGTTGAGAGGCTGAGGCAGGTGGATTGCTTGAGCTCAGAACTTTGAGACCAAGCAAGGCAACATGGTGGAACCCTATCTCTACGAAAAATATGAAAATTAGCCAAGCATGGTGGTGCTCGCCTTTTTATACCACCTACTGGAAAAGCTAAGGTGAGAGGATCATTTGAACCCAGGAGGTCAAGGCTGCAGTAAGCTCTGGTTGCACCACTGCACTCCAACCTGGGTGCAAGAGGGGGACCCTCTGCCCAGGACTCTTGGGATATGACTATACCCATAGGGACTGCCCGCAGTAACCTCACATTTGAGTGGAAGTGGAGATCATATGTACCTGTACCAATATGTAGTGAAAAAGGAAAACATAAGAAATCATGGCAGAAATGGCACAAAGTATAAAAGAGGCTTGGTGTAATTGAGAGAGGCATTCTGGTGATAAAATTTGAACTGATTTCTGGAGAATGGGTTGAATTCCAATAGAGGGAGATGGACCAAAGTTAATTCTGATGAGGGAAATGTCTTGAGCAAAATCTAGAAAAGGGAAACATGCCCATTTTAAGTGTTAATGAGGGTCCAGTTGGGGTACAGTGCAGGAAGAGAGTTCTAGTGAAAAGGTAGTTGGTCTGATAGGACAGGGTCTTGCAGGCAGAGGCAGATACTATCATTATTCCATTGTTCAGATTGGAAAACAGACACAGAGAGCCCAAGGTCACAAAGCCAGAAAGTGAATCTGGGCAGTCTAGCGGTAGCACCCTCTTCTTAAATGATCTATTAAAGGGCCTCTTCTCCAGGCACTCTAAAACTCTTCTCCATCTTTAGCTCCCCCAGAGTACAGTGAGGCCCCCTGTCTACCTCACATGATGGGGTCTCAGAAAAGCAACAGATCCCAACTCATACTAGCTTTTAAATAAAAAAAAAAAAACCTTGCAAAACAAGAAGTGCAGAGGTTGGGAGAGAGCCAGCACTGGTTAATTCAGCAGCTCAACAATAAATCCAAGACCTGGGTATTGGTTCACCTCTCCACACCACCATCCTCATGGGCCAGCTTCTACCTCCTCCTGAATGCTGTGTCTTTGCCTAGTTTTCTCCCTGATTTTAGCTCAAGTGCTGCTTCCTGGGGGCAACCTTTCCTGCCTCCCTCTTGGGGTCAGTCCACCTTCCCAGGCTCTTGCAGCACCCCTGGGTCTGCTGAACTTTCCCTTGTTACATAATTCTGTGACTAACATCACCTCTTTCTGTTAGACTCTCAGCTCCACTAGAGAAGAAATTCTGTGCATTTTTGCTCACTATTGAACCCTGGAGTCTACTACTCAAATATTTGTCAAATGAGTAAATGGTAGCTCTGTGCAGGGCCGAGGAACACAAGAACCACAAGAAACATGCAATCTGCCAAAATACTCATTACAGCTCACTCTCCTCTGGTGACATTTCCCTGAGGCACATTCCTGTTGGTTTCTTCCCCTCAAGAAGCATTCTTCTTTCTCCTTCCTATAAAAGCCAGGATTTTCTCAGATAGCCACACCATGCCCCATGCAAAGAGATTTGGATTATTCTATCATCTTGAGGCATTTCTGTGGAAACTGCTGTCAGTCCAGGTGGCCCATGACCTAAGCTGACCCAAGCCGACTGAAGGGAGGACGTATTCTATGCACTCTATGCAGTTCCACAAGGTGCTGGTTGTCCCGGCTGCTGCTGGTGGTCTTCATGTAGCCAAGGTATCACTAGTGCATATGGAGAAAACAGAGCAACTGGAGAGAAACCGAGTAGGTAAAAGTGGGCAGGGCTTGGTGATGTTTGGGGATATGATATGAGCGATAAGACAGAGGATGGTCTTAGGAAAATCTCCTGTATTTTCCTTTTGGACAATGGTATAAATGAATAAAAGTTCCAATCACTGGGATAGAAAACACTTGGAAAATATGAGATTCATTCAGGCAAGCCTTTCATACACTATTCCATAATCAGTTTCATAAGTGAAAGGGAGTCAGAACTCATTTCTACCTTGTTTGCTTCTATCATACTGTGTTGTACCCTGTTGGATCTACTTATCACATTCCTCCTGCTAGTGGACTTACCTGCTAATGTTTGCACTTCTGCCTTGCCAGCATGGAACCTCTGAGACAGCAGGAGCAGTGTGTGTGCATGCATGTGTGTGTGCACTTTTGTGTGTGTGTGTGTGTGTGTGTGTAATTGGATTCCCCACAGCACATTATTGTTTTATCCATAGTAAATGGTGGATGAATATTTGCAGGATTTAGCTGGACTGCAGCATTGTGGAGGTCAGATAACCACATTTTGACAGACAAGTTGCATTCTAACCTTGAAGCAGACAAAATGCCCATCTTATCAGCCTCGCTCACATCAGCTGTGCCTTTCCTTTGTGGTTGTATGTTTATGAAGCTCATCCAACAAGCTTCTTAAAAAGGGGATTGGACCTTCGCCAGCCTCAGGCTGCATGGCAGGGTGACTGTGTCTTTGAATATCCCAGATGGAGGCTGGTCACCCTTTTGTCTTTGGGTGAATAGACTACTCAGGAAGGCAGGGATGCAGGCACCCCCATTTCTTGTTAATGAGTTTGCAATTTATTTTGGCAGATCTAAAATAATAATTCAAAGGCAGTGTAGAAGAAGATGGGGACATTACTTTTAATTGTTTAATATTGTTATGACATGACATGTGCTTACAGAAAGAGAGGCAAGCCACCATCTTCAAGGGAGGGCATAGTCATCGACTGTGATCCTGGTGTCCATGTTGGAATATCATGGCAACTGTCTCCCAGCACTGAACTCGATGACTTCTGCTGCATTCCCAGTGTTAGCTGAGTTGCTTAATTTACTTTCTTCAACGCCATGTGTGAAAGGGAAGCTAGAAAACTGCACTATGTATGGCTTCGTGCACTGAAAATTTGACATTATCAAAGGAGGCATGATCTTGTTTCTCTCCATCCCTCTCCAAATGTTTTCTATAATTATATTCAGAGGCTCATGGGTCTTACCATGGGTGATCAAGGAAGGGCTGGTAACTCTTTCAACCACAGGTAAAATATTACAAACATCTGAAATATGCATTTTTACAGGTGAGAGAAATGAGGCCAGAAAAGTTAAGTGCATCATGTTGAGTACAATTTTATTTGGTGATCAGGCAGCCCTGGGTTCAAATCCTGGCTCTATTGCTACCAATTAAGCCACTTAACTCCATCTGAGCCTCAGGTTGCCCATCTGCATAATAAGCAGTAATAGCAGCTGTCCTGCAGGACTACTGTGAGAATTACAACTCAGGCAATGATCATGATATTTCTTGGCACAGAGGTGTTCACTACCTAGGTAGTGTTATTATTATTAGGCCTAAAGTCACAAAGGGAGTTTTTGAGAACGCTGGAATGAAAACTTGTTCCTCTCAGCTCTGAGCTTATTAGAGCCCACCGTTTTGCATGAATAAAGCAGCCCTGGAGTCTCTCAGGGGAGGGTGTTTGTAACATCTGTTCAGGCACGGTTTCATTTGCTATATACCCAGAGACTAGCACGGTACAAGTTGTGGGGAGATACTCATGTGAGTTGGCGGACTTTGGGTCAAATATTTTCCCTAAACCCAGGTCTCTATGGCATTCTACAGTACACTCTGCATCCTTCTAAGGGACACTGGAAGAGCAAATGGATTGTACAGTGAGTTACAAATAAAATGGCCAATCTCAGCATGAAAGGCTGGGGGTGTTACCTGAATGAGGATGCAGACCACTCCATCTACATACAAGCAAACCTAAGTGACCATGAGCCTGCCGGAAAGAAATCACATGCTATGTAAAGGCTTAGTAACAGTGATGAATATTTGAACTTGAACTCCAGCTCCAGAGCAGTTCAGTGGCCTCTCTTCCAGGAACAGAAGCCAAAGCAGCTCAGGATTCTTGAAGGCTCTGAAAGGTCAATGACAATCCTGGTATATGTCAAGACTTTCCCACCAAAGAAGGGCTCCATGTGTAGAGACTTAGAAAGGATTCCCAACTTCCGCCCCTTCAAAACCAGAAACAAAGGTGGGGGACAGCCCAATTAAGTGGCCCTAGAGATTTGCCCAGGAGCTGGAGCCCTCCGGAGAAGTCCAGTTTTCCTATGCAGGGAGAGGACTGGGAGTTCTCTGGTCACAAGCGTTCTGCCTTTGTTTTCATGAAGCTATGTCTCTTACCTGGTAAGAAAAATGGAACTTCATGCAGCTGCTGAAAACTTTAACCAAAACCCAAAGATGCTGGCACAAAGAAAGGAGGCCTGAAGAAAACAAGTGACCATGGAAACACATTTAGCTCTTAATCTGACCAATTTCTCATGGGCCAGGCCTGGTGCCAGGAATGCTGTGATGAATAAGGCCTGAGCTGAGATTGTGAGGATGAGACGGAGTCCACCCTGTGGGGATCTGGGATGATAGAAGGGCTCCGCAGATAGAGGACCCGGTGGCCAGAAGTTCTGCTGAGTGGAAAAGGGCTCGGAGTAACTGAGGTCAGCTGGATTCCTTAAACATTGCCCAGAGCCCTTGAAGCCATCTAAGGGCACACTTCTCAGGCCTGCTCCGAACCACACTCAACTGGGAATCTTTTAAGGACAGCTGCTCTGTTAGGCTTGCCTGAGATGGTGCAGTTTTCCCCCGCGGCGGCAGAGGCACAGACAGTTAAGAATGCAGGAGCGGGGCCTCACAATGCCTTGGACTAGGGCAAAGGAGGACCCCCGCCTCTCCCCTCCCGGGGCTAAGACATGGGAGGACCCCGACCGGTGGATCCATTGACTCTGGCACCAGAGGATCCCCGCTCTCCAGCGCCCTAGACTGAGGCAACAGAAGACCTCAGACCTGCTCCATCCTGAACTAGAGCACAGTGGGACCCGCGACCTGCCGTGGTCTCAGGCACTGGAGGACACCTGCAACGCCGTGCGCTAGACTATGCTACTGAAGGACCTCTACCGCGGCTCAGCCCTGGACTAAGGCACCGGAGGATCCCCGCCCTGCCCCGCCCCGCGGTGTCCTGGACTGTGCACTGCAGAACCCCCACCCTTCCACACCCTGGACTCTGGCTCCCGAGGACCTTGGCCCCGGCTCGCCCTGAACTACTCCTGCCCCTCAGCGCCCTGGACTGTGGTTCCAGAGGACCTGGTCCTGGGGCAACTTGTGCTACCGCGTGGACTCCAGGACCCCAGTCCTTCCACGCCCTAGACCAAGACACGGGAGAACCTCTGACTCGCCGCCCCCGAACTAGGGCACCAGAGGACCCACACCTTGCCGTGCCCCGGACTACAGCACGGAAGGACCCCCGATCCGCCGGGCACTGGGCTCCTGCACAGAGGGACCCCCGCCATGGAGGTCTGGACTACCCCTGCCCCACCGCACCCTGGACTACTGCACGCCAAGACCCTCGCCTGAACACGCCCTACACTCTGGCATGGGGGAACCCGGCCCCGCAGAGCCCTGGACTCTGGCATTGGAGGACTCCTCGGCTAGGTTCTGGACTCCTGCACCAGAGGACTCCTGCCCTGCCACACCCTGGACACCTGCACTAGAGAACCCTGCCCCGTCGCCCCCTAGACTATGGCACGGGAGGACCCCTGCCACCGACTTCGGCACGGTAAGACCCCTGACCCGCCTTGCACTGGATTCCAGCACTGGAGGACCCCCTGCCACGGCGCTCTCTGGACTACCCCTGCGCCACCGCGTCCTGCACTACAGCACAGCAGGACCGCCGTCCCACCGCGCACTGGACTGAGGCACAGCAGCACCCGGGCCTCGTGGTTGGTGGACCGCAGGACGAGGTGACCCCCCGCCCCGCTGCGCGTTGGACTATGGCACAGGAGGACCACCATTCCCGCATGCCCTGGACCACTGCAGGACAGGTCCCCCACTCCGCAGCGGCCTGGAATATGGCACTGCAGGACCCCCGCCCTGCTGCTCCACGGACTCCACCACTGAAGACCCTCGCCCCCCTGCACCCTGGACAAAGGCACGGGAGGACCCGGCTTCACCGCCCAGTGGGCTATCGCATAGGAAAACCCCCAGCCCACCCCCATCGCGCCAGAGACTCTGACAAGAGAGAACCCCTGCCCCCTGCTCCCCGGACTACAGCAAGGCAGGAACCACCCTCCTCCAGGATCCTCACTATGGCAACTGTGGAACCCCGCCCTGGTACGCCCTGGACTAAGTCACCGAAGGACCCCGACCCCACCACACCGTGAACTCCAGCACTGGAGGACCATTGCCTTACTGCGGACTCAAGCACTGGACTATCGCAGGGCTGGATCCCTGTCCCGCCATGCCCTACACTATGGCACGGGAGGACCCAGCCTCACTGAGCTCTGGACTCCAGCACCGGAGGACACCTACACGGAGGACTCCTGCTCCGCCACGTCCTGGACTCCTGCACAAGAGAACCCCCGCCCCGCGGCACCCTGGATATAGCAAGGCAGGAATCCCGCCCTGCAGTGTTCTGGACTGCGGCACCTGAGAATCCATGCCCCACCGCGCCCTGGACTGCTGCTCCACAGGACTCCTGTTCCACTGCACCCTGGACTATGGCACCAGAGGACCCAGCTCCCGGCAGCCTGGACTATGGCACCAGAGGACCCAGCCCCTCGCATCCTGGACTATGGCACCAGAGGACCCAGCCCCCTGGCGTCTTGGACTAAGGCACAGTAGGACCCCGCAGCATCGTGTACTCCTGCACAGGAGGACCCTCGCAGGGCTGCGTCCTGGACTGAGCTACTGAAGGAGCCTCACCCCTGCCTCACCCTGGTCTAAGGCACTGGAGAACTCTTGCTCCGCAGAGCTGCGGACTCTTGCACGAGAGAACCTGCGCCCAGCCGTGCCCTGGACTGTGGCACAGTAGGGCCCACACCGGGCCATGGACTCCTGTACTGGAGGAAGAGTGGTGATAAATGTCCAGGTTTACAAGTTGAAAAGTAGCAGTCAATGTGCTACAATGGATGGATTTGATGTAAAATTACAAATGCTGAAAACATTATGTGTAATTGCCTAGCCAGATCAACTACACAAGACAAAGAAATAAAAGAAATCCATATAGGGAAGGAAGAGGTAAGATTGTTTCTGTTTTCTGAAAATATAATCTTAAGATACAGAAAATCTTTTTTTATTATTAATGTTCTATTTACTTATTTTTATAATATTTTATAAATAAACTTTATTCATATAAAACAGGCCAAACATCTGACATTCAAAAATGGCTACTGTTATAAAATCAGAAACATAGTCAGAGTGTTGGGAATATTGAAATTTCTAAATCTTTATGAATAACACAATCACTTAAGTTATATCCACAAAGAACAGAAAAGAGGCAAGCTTGAAAATATGAGGATAGAAAGATGTCACAGTGATGTGTTTTTAGAAACAGTACCTTCACCTCTAAGCAACTTTCAGGTAGGTGATAGCTAGCTCATAGGCACCAGAAATTCATAACAGAAATTAAATTACCCAAAAGGCACAGAAGAAAATGTTAACACAAGTATAAAAGTAATTTTATGTAAGGTTAAAACCTATTTTTAAAATGCTTCCAAATATGTAAAACTATACACAAGTCCATTACACATTCAGCTTAAGTTTACCATTAAAAAGTGTACACACAATACTGTAACTGTAAATACATGCCACCGTTTATAATGTAGCATTTACCACCACAGCACCCAAAGATATTAACAGAAACCAACTCCCCACTAAAATCTAGGGAAAGGTTTTAGAGCTAGTGAAATAATTTATTGCAGACCGTATTTATTATAAAGAAACTATTGGCTCATTCTACTGTATCCACACTCCCTCACAATCTTAAGGGAGATACAATAAGTCCACTCTCTTCTCCTAAAATGATATTTAGCACATTTGACAAGGAGGAGTGGTTGCTTTATTCCTTTTTCTTATCTTTTTTTCTTTTTCTTTTTTTCTTTCTTTCTTTTTTTTTTTTTTTAAGAATAAATCACTTTCACAAAACTGAGACTCAAACTTTTTTGAAGCTCAGCTTGATTTGCTGGAACTACACAGAGACATGTTTGATCACACAACAGCAACTGTACATCCTCCCAAGTCTGGAATACGGAATTGATGGAGGACACTTACTTGCTTAAAATGTATTTGATTATTCTGCATTTATGATAAAAATATCATCCAGGGATCATATTCAAGAGGGTAAATTTAGGATTACATGTTTCTAGAACATATAACATGTAATGCCATCCAAAACCAACAACAAACAACATAGAGCACTGAAACCGAAGAGCCACTTAAAATTTAGAATTAGGAAATTTCAATCTATAATTGCCAAACAATAAGTGAGTTATAATATTTTTCTAATTAGAAAAATATCACCTAAAGTGGAAAGCCAGCATTTAGTTGGGGACTATGAGATACTACATCCTTGGTCTGGCTGGCCACCATTTTAAAGACCACCACAGATCTCAAGGCATGAGACCTCTCACCAACAAAATCTATCCCTGCTATTGCACCTAGTGCCATCTCAATATGTGGCAGACAGCAAATGTTCTAACTTAATCTGATAGATGCTCCTTTAGCATATAAAAGAGCTTGCTAAGTCCCTATTACCTGTAGCAGTCTATCAACTAAATATTTAAGAAGTCATTTCATAGGCAAGGTTTATGAATGACTTAGAAGTAAAATTAGTAATTTCTAAACCACTGTAGTGTTTTCTATGTTTTTAGAGATATTCCTAACACAGAGTTTTCCGAGGAGCTGTGAAAACAAGTACAAACGTACATAAGTAATTTTGTCAGGGATGTTTCTGTACTAATTTGGGGGAGACTTGTGGGCCATAAATAAATGAGATACACATCCTAAAAATAATGGTAAAAATTATCAAGTACCACTTTCAGATGGTTACTCAAGTATCAACTTGGTATGCAAGTAAGTTCACGGATTTCTTCACCTATGATTTCATACTCAAAGTGCTACATCTTACTTAGGTACTGATAACATTTAGAAACCTTTATAATCAGCCTCTTAAAGAAAATCCAGCCTTTTCAGATGGTAAACTTGTCTTTACTAACTTTAATGCCCGTAACTATTTCGATATAACCAAACAAAAATTTTTAAAAATATATTCCTTACAGCTCCTGATTAACTTATTTTTTGATACATTCTGAGGCTAGTAACAAAATTTAGACCAGAATAGGTTTTCATATATCAAAAAAAGGAAAGGAACACGGAGAGCACAGATGAGACGTATGGAGGCTCTATACTATAGACCCATCCTTGCTCTGTGCGGGAATCATCACAGGAATCGCGCCCATTCGACTTAGATTAGGGGCAGCTACCTTAGCAGGTGGGAGAGTCGGACTCTGAGGAGTGCGTTCAAAGTCTTCACTTGGTACTTGTTTATACTGAGTCTTGGAATATCCTTCCATGTTGGAAGGAGATATGGATCCCAGGGATGAATGATTACTGCCTATGTAGCTTCTGGCAGTGGACGTGCGGCTCTTTGGAGGCGGCACATCTTCCTTGATATCGTGATGAACTTCCTTTTCATATTTTTCTTCTCTGCACTTTTTACGACAGCAAAAGATGATAAGACCAATGAGCACTAGAGCAAGCAAAGTTCCTATAATGGCTCCTGCAATTAGTCCAGCTTTATTTGAAGGAGGGACAACGTTTACACGCAACAGGCACTGATCAGAGCCCACTCTGTTTCTGATGTACAGCTGTATGTCCCAGAGTACTCAGAAGAAGCATTTTTATAGATATAACAGATGAAGTCATTTCTGCTAACCATGAAGTGGGCATTTTCTGTGAGTCAGACAATTTTTGCCACTCATACTGTAATGGAAGTGAACCTTCTTTTGGTTCACATTTTAATTTAAAGTCACTTCCAATTTCTTCTGATCCATCAACGTAACATCTTGTACCTGAAGGCTTACCAAGAACTACCAGCTGAATCTTCCTATTTGCAACACCAGGAGCTCTTTTCACTTTGCACTGATCTGTGCCAATATCTGACAGCTGAAAATTCGTTACATTTATTGATGCATCACCAGATTTGAGATCATTACTCTTAAAATGTACTCGGCCTTTCAGATCTGGATAGTAGTCATCATAAATTTTGTCTCCAGAATATAAAATAATCACTTGATCCACCTTCTGATTATCAGCTGGTGATATCAGCCACTCGATGTCCAGTGGTCCCTGGTCTTCAGGACTAAGCGTAAATTTGCATGGCAGATAGGCAGTTTCCCCTTTGGCTTTTTCAATCATCTGCTCAGGAGTAGTGATACTCCAACCTCTGATGAAATCCGCGACTCTGCACAGGAGCACGAAGCGCAGCAGGAGCGCCATGGTGGCTGCCGTGCCGTGGGCGGCGGCTGCAGGTAGGCGGCTCTCGCTCCAGGTCCTAGGCTCCCCGCGCCTGGCGCACTCAAGGTAGAGAAAATCTTAAAGACTCCACCACAATAAACGGTTAAAGCTGATAAAGAAATTCAATAAAGTTAATAGTTACAAAATCATACAGATAGCATTATTGTTTCTATACATTAATGACAAACTATTACCTGAAAAATAAATTAATAAGGCAATTCAATTTATAATAGAATCAAAACAGATATAAAAATATGTAAAAGACTTAGGAGTAAATTTAATCAAGAATGTGAAAGATTTGCACACTGAAAACTATAGCACATTGATGAAAAAAGTTAAAATGGCATAAATAAATGGAGAAACATCCTTTATTGATTGATTCAAAAATTAGTATTGTAAAAGTGTCAATGCTACCCAAAGCAATCTACAGATTAAATGCAACCACTATCAAATTCCCAGAAATAGAAAAATTACTGCTAAAATTTGTATGAAACCACAAAAGACCCTGACTAACCAAAGCAATCTTGAACAAAAAGAATAAAGCTGGAGGCATCAGACTACCCGATTCCAAACTATATTACAAAGCTATAGTAATTAAAACAACATAGCAGTGGCATAAAAACAGACATGTAGAACAGTGCAAAGGGATATAGAACCCGTAAATAAATCCGTATGTCTGTGGTCAATTGACTTTTTGATAAAATAACTAAAAATACACAATGAAGAAAGAAAATTATTTTCAATAAATGGTGTAGAAAAAACTGACTATCCACATACAGAAGAATAAAATTTGACTTTTCTTTTGCTCTTTATACAAGCATGAAATCAAAATTAAAGACTTAAATGTAAAACTACTACAAGGAAATACAGAAGAAGACTGTATGACATTGGCCTGAGCTATGATTTTCTGTAGATTATTCCAAAAGCACAGGCAACAAAAGCAAAAACACATGAATGAGATTGCATAAAACTAAAAAGCTTTTCCACAGGAAAAGAAGTGATAATAGAATGAAGAGAACCCACAAATGGGATAACATTTTTAAACCATACATCAGATAAGGGGCTCATATAATAATATATAAGTAACTCAACCTACTCAAACATAAGAATAAAACTATGCTTATTAAAAAAAATAAGCAAAGAACCAGAATAGACATTTCGTAAGGCATACAAAAGGCCAACAGGTACATGAAAAAATCATAAACATTTCTAATTATCAGAGAAATGCAAATCAAAGCCACAATGAGATATCACCTCACACATTTTACTAGGGCTATTATAAAAAAAGATGGAAGATAAGTGTTGATGAGGATGTGGAGAAAAAGAAACCCTGTGCACTGTTGGTAAGAATGGAAATTAGCACAGCCATCTTGGAAAACAGTATGAAGCTTCCTCAAGAAATTATAAATATATTTACCCTATGATCCATCAATCCCACTTCTGGATACGTGTCCAAAGGAATTTTAATCAGTATGTCAAAAACAGACATCTGCAATTTCATGTTCATTGCAGCATTATTCATAATACCCATGAATTAGAAACAACCTAAGTGCTTATCAACTGAAGACTAGATAAAAATATGTGGAAAAATTGGAACCCTTCTACACCACTGGTGAGACTTTAAAATGTAAAGCAGTCTCGCAGTTCTTCAAATGGTTAAACATAGAGTTATCACGTGACCCAGCAATTCCACTCCTATGTGTTTACCAAAAAGAAAATAAAACAAATGCTACACAAACAGTAGTACACAAATGTTTATAGCAACACAAAGTAGAAAACAACAGAAATGTTCATCAGCTGAGGAGTGGATAAATAAAATGTGGTGTGTCCATAAAATAGAATCTTATTTAGCAAGAAAAGGTAAAAAACTGTTAATGCATGCTCCAAAATGGATGAACATTAAAAATATGTTAGGTGAAAGATGTGAGTAAAAAGTGACTATGTGTTATTATAATTCCATTTATGTGAAATGTCCAGAATAGGCAAATTCATAGTCAGAAAGTAGACGAGTGGTTGCCTAGACTAGGAGGGGTTTAAAAAAGACTGGAGAAAATGGGGAAAGATTGCTAATGGGCGCAAGTCTCTTTTAAGGAAAATAAAATGTTCTAAAATTATATTATGATGATTATTTGTCCATCCAGTTAATATACTAAAAGAATTTGAAGTTTGTACTTTAAATGAGTGAATTACACAATGTATAAATTATATCTCAATAAAGCTGTGGAAAGTTAAAAGTATATGTAGGATGCATACAAAAATACTACTTATCTTTATAAATGAATGAAAATCTGTCATTTGCAAAAACATGGATGAATTTAGAGGACATTATGCTAAGTAAAATAAGCCAGACACAGAAAGACAAATATCTCATAGTATCACTTATATGTGAAATCCAAAACTGTGCACTCATAGAAGTTAAGAATAGAATGGTGGTTTATCAGAGGCTGAGCAGGGTGGGGAGCAGGGGTGGAAAAAGGGGAAATATTGAATGGGATAATGCTTCAGTTAGGAGAAAGACATTCTGGTGATATGGTGCACAGCAAAGTGACTGCAGTTACTCATAATGTAGTGCATATCTTAAAAGTGCTAAAATAGTACATTTTAAATGTTTCACCATAATGTAATACATATCTGAGGTGAAGGATACGTTATTTAGCCTAATTAGTCCATTTCACAATATCTACATGTATCGTACCACATTGTACCCTATATATATTTATTTATCAATAAAATCAACATTTTAAAAAGTGAGGAACACAGATGTGCTAGATCTTCATCTAAAGACATTTCTGAGAAAAGTGTATCTGTTTTCTTTCAGAAGAAATTTACACTTAATAGATATTATGGTAACTAAAGTAAGGCAGATAATTTTGGCCATCAGCTTTTATTGTGGGATAATCTCTTTTTGCTGACCTTGTAAAAGCTGTGGCATATTAACAAGTAGGAACATTTTTTTTATCATGATCAGGTAAAGATTCTGCAAGTTTCTATTTTGAATATTTCCCCAGGAATCACAAAGTGTGAATGCCTTTTATTTCAGAGGTCTAGCCCTAAATGGTTTAGTCAATTACATCATGCATTCTGAAATAAGTACTGGTGCATTTGGGAAGGTACTATATATAATTGTGTTTTAAATTTAACTATCATATAAATCTACTTTTCTAGTTAACAGTTTATATTTTATAGAGGCCCTCCATATACATAAGAGCTTTTCTGATAGTATATCCATTAGATTTCAAAGATAAGTAAAGGAACAATTTTGCTTTTATTTATTATTATTATTATTTTTTAAGGCTAGTCAAGTGAAGCAGTGGGAGTGGAGAAGGAACTGCTTTAATTTTTATATGTTGGTGTTACAGGCTATATGTGACAGGCTGTATATTTTTCTGCTGAATTTTAGAAACAAAATGAAATATTTATTTCCTATTTCATTAGATTTAGGGATGATGATTACATTGAGGGGTTGGGACTAGACTGAAGGCACCACATCATCAATCACTTGGAAACAATATTTTGCCTATGTGTTATGTTATATTGACAAAAACTTTTATTGTGGCAGGCAATATAGCTCCCTATTGAAATATGTGAAAAATGTAGAGAAAAAAGGACAATATTAGTTATCAAGGGATATTTAGGCCTGAGATGCATGATGCTAATATTCAAAACATACACTTTTTAAAAATTAGATTTAAAATGTAAATTGAAGCAGAACATTTAGAAAAAGACATAATATCTACTATAAAAGTCCTGGGTTAGAAAAGTTAAAATGCTAAATGAAAAAATAATGCTTCTTGGGTGGCTTAAAATCGAATATGAGACAAAAGATTACTCAGAAATTTTTCTAAGATTAAAAACGTGTATACAGTTTCTTTGATATAAAATGAAATAAATGTCTGGATATAACTTTAACAGAATAGAATAGGGAGACAAGGGCAACGAGCAGGTGTATGTAGAATAAAGTGAACATATTATTGTAATAATGAGAGGGACAGAGTTGAATGATTGCTCTTGGAGACAAGGGATTTTGATGTCTAAGTTAATGACAAATCTTTTGTTTGCAAGTTTAAAAATGTAACTTAAACCTGGTGAAGGAATAAAGGGTGGTTGGAGGGATGATTCTTTGTACACTAAACTTATTTTAATGACTAATGAATTAATCATAAGTTCAAATGATTTTATGGAGGCCCTTTCTTTATTTGATATTTCTGGACTCCTTTTTTCTTTGTGTGTGCTCCATTTTTACCTACTTGAACAATTTTTACCCCCAAAGTTTAGGAAACACTGTAACCAAATGTTCCAACATGATATAATCCCTGAAGGCATTTGCAGCTGGGGGAGTAGGGGAAAAGGGGTTTCTCTTTCAACAAATGCATGTTAACCTCGGTGAAAACTCAGAAGTTTAAACATGGTCCCCCTTGCGTCATGTGGCTACCCCAGGACCAATCATTGCACCAGACATAGGAGATAATCTCAAAAGCCAGGTTGGAGTCAAGGTTCTCCAGTGGAATTTCCACTTTAGAAATCAGTTTTGTCAGGCTTTGTGTTTGCATATTACAGACATGATAGCCATATAGCTATCTATTCCAGTAGAGATGAAAACCTAAGAGCATATGCCCATTCAAAGGATTTTACATGAATCTTCATAGCAGCTTTACTTGCAACAGCCAAAACCTGAAAATAGTCCAAATATCCATGGACAGGTGAATTTGTGACTTATAAACTTACTATGGTATCTGTATATAATGAAATAATACTCCCTAGTAAGAACAGAACAATTGATAGATGTAGCAACATGAATAAATCTCAAAAATAGTGATGCTGAGTGATCAGAAAGTATACATACCCTATGATTTTATGTATTTGGAAATAAAAACTCACGGATAGTGACTAGAAGTGGATCAGTGGTTGCCTGTGGATGGAATGGGGATAGGCAGGAAAAAGTGAGTAGAAAAAGCACAAGGAAACTTTGGTGGTAAAGGTAATGGATATGTTTGCTATTTTCATATGTTGTTGGTTTTGTAGAGCTACAAATGCCAAGAATTATCAAAATGTACAATTGAAGTATGTGCAGTTTATTGCATGTAAATAAACCTTTTAAAAATTAACCGATACAAATTGACTTACATGACCAGAAAGCTCTTGAAAAACTCTCCTGTTTTCTCCCCTATTTTTATTCTTGCATGCCCTTATAGCCTGTGTTAACACATTTCTCATCTTACCGTTATTTTGTGTCTACATTTCACCAAGTCAATATAACTATCACCATAATTTCTTGGTTTCTCTTTAGTTCATTAGTAATTATGAGTAATGTATTGAAATGTTAAAGATATGTTCATGCATTCAGAATGCTCTGCTCTCTGATCCACATAATAGTGAATTATGCTCTCAATAATTACACAGTATAGTACTTTTTTTTTTTTTTTTTTTTTTGAGACGGAGTCACACTTGGTTACCCAGGCTGAAGTGCAATGGTGCATTCTGGGCTCACTGCAACCTCCACCTCACGGGTTCAAGTGATTTTCCTGCCTCAGCCTCCTGAGTAGCTGGGATTACAGGCATCTGCCTTCATCCCCGGCTAATTTTTGTATTTTTATTGGAGACAGGGTTTCACCATGTTGGCCAGGCTGGTCTTGAACCTCTGACCTCAGGTGACCTGCCTGTCTTGGCCTCCCAAAGTGCTGGGATTATAGGCATGAGCCACCACCCCTGGCCAGAATATTGCTACTTTTGCAAATAGCTACAATTGACCCTGATCTGGACTTTGAGTTGATCACAGCTTTGTAAAAGAGGATAGCATTGTAAAACTGCAAAATTAGACTAATAATAACATAGAATGCTTTCAGTATAAGAAATAATACTATCCTAAGCAAAAATAAATAAATAAATAAAACTGGAGGAATTATATTATCTAACTTCATATTATACTACAGAATTACAGTAACCAAAAGAGTAGGGTACTGGCATAAAAAGAGGCCCATAGATCAATGAAACACAATAGAGAACCCAGTAACAAATCTACATACCTACAGTGAACTCATTTTTGACAAAGGTGCCAAGAACATACACTGGTGGGAAATGGTGTTGAAAAAACTGGATATCCATATGCAGAAGAATGAAAACAGACTAGTATCTATCACTGAATACAAAAGTAAAATCAAAGTTGATTAAAGATGTAAAGCTAAGACCTCAAACTATAAAACTAGTACAAAAAAACTTTGGGGGAAATCTCCAGGATATTGGTCTGGGCAAAAATATCTTGAGCAATACCCCACAAGCACAGGCAACCAAAGCAAAAATGGACAAATGGATCACATTAAGTTAAAAGCTTCTGCACGGAAAATGATACAAGCAACAAAGTTAAGAGATAATCCACAGAATGAGAGAAAATATTTGCAAACTACTCATCCAACAAAGGATTAATAATCAGAATATATAAAAAGCTCAAACAACTCTTTAAGAAACAATCTAATAACCTGGCTAAAAAAAAGGGGGCAAAAGATTCGAATAGATATTTCTCAAAAGAAGACCTACAAATGGCAAACAGGTATAAGAAAAGGTGCTCAATATCACTGATCATCAGAGAAATGCAAATCAAAACTACAATGAGATATCATCTCACCACAGTTTATATGACTTGTATGCAAAAGACAGGCAGTAACAAATGCTAGCAGGGAAGCAGAGAAAAGGGAACACTTGTACATTGCTCCTGGGAATGTAAATTAATAAAACCACCAAGGTGAACAGTTTGGATGTTTCTCAATAAACTAAAAGTTGAGCTAGCATATGATCTAGCAATCCTACTGCTGGGTCTCTACCAAAAATAAAGGAAATCAGTATGTCAAATACATATCTGCACTCCCATATTTGTTGCAGCACTGTTTACAAAACTAAGATTTGGAAGAAACCTTAGTGTCCATCAACAGATGAATGGATAAAGAAAATGTGGTACATATACACAATGGAGGACTATTCAGCCGTAACAAAGAACAAGATCCAGTCATTGTCAGTAACACTGATGGAACATTATGGATCATTATATTAAGTGAAATAAGCCAGGTGCAGAAAGACAAATGTTACATGTTCTTACTTATTTGTGGGATCTAAAATCAAAACAAACTCATGGACATAGAGAGTATAAGGATGGTTATCAGAGGCTGGGAAAGGTAGTTGGGGGGGGATTTTGTGGGAAGGTGGGGATGGTTAATGGGTATAAAAATAGAGAGTTAATAAGACCTACTATTTTATAGCACAATAGGGTGACTATATCCAATAATAATTTCATTGTACATTTTGAAATAACTAAGACTGTAATTGAATTTTTTATAACTTGAAGGATAAATGCTTGAGGGGAGGGATACCCCATTCCCCAAGATGTGCTTATTTCACCTTGCATGCCTGTATCAAAACATCTCAGGGACCCCACAGATACATACACATACTATGTACCCACAACATTTTTAAACAATCTAATACAATTTTTTAAATGGCTCTTATTTTTTGTTACCTTCAATTATTGTAAAATATATTCTATTATTTATGATTTGCCTTGTTTGAAAACAAATTTTAAAAACACTATTTAAGACCAGATAAATGGACTAGGAGTAACTTGCATAAAAATGACAGAAATTGCTGCTACTTCTTCTAATTATTGAGATGGTATTTCTATATTTGTGAAATTATCTGATAGAAAATTGAATTGTTTCCAACATTATTTTTCATAATTAAACATGTTATATTGCTACTTCTTTAAAAGTAGCCTTTAAAATATTACCAATCTATTTTAAAGTCTACTTGCCAAAACATTAAACTATTCTTAAAAAAAGTAATTTATTTAATTACCTAACATCCTCAAGCAATGTCCTAATTTTCTCAAGCAATTATCTGATTTTCTCAAGCAATTGATATTAGCAAGTTGTGCTAGCTAACTGCTGAGAATCATTGTCTACATATGAGATAAATCATCTATCAATCCTTTAAAGAAGACTTTATGAGCCATAGAGATTGTAGTCCAATCTGTATCACTGACTTTAAACATTGGATAATTGACACTCCGTGTTGTCTGTAAGCCTATTTCACAGCAGCTGAGTGATGTCAATAGGTACCTCTTGGAGTGCCATTTTCCTTGTAACCCTTAGATTAATTCAGATTGACTGAGTTCTGTGTCAGTGGAAATTGCCAGAATTATATCATGCTGCTTTGCATCTAGTTTCACTTTTCCAAAAGCCTACACAGATTTCAGATGTTTAGAAAATAGCTCTTGTTTTCCTTCTGGGTAATCTTTTTCATGTCACCACTCTTGTCAGCATCTGCATTGGGCAAATTTCCTAGGACCTCCCTTCTGCGTCTTTTAAAATATGAAAACAAAATCAATGTAGCGCAGCAAGCCAGGGAAAGTCTGCTTTGATTGACTTACGGCCATAGTCACCCAGCAGTTCCTTCAGATGTGGCTTCCCAGGTCAGCCACTGAGCCCACCGCTGTTCTCCTGCCTGCAGAAGTGGCTCTGTGAGCCGTTTGAGGAGAAAATGGGGGACTTTGGGCTTCAGCCCGAGGAGAACACGGTGGAGATGGAGGAGCCCCTGGGCGTCCGCAGGTTAACTGAAAACATGAGAGGACACAAGCACGGGACCAAGTCTGTCACTAACCTGTAAAGTACTCTCACCAAGCCGACCGGGCACTTTGTCTGAGCGCCTGCCTTTGCCACCACTGTGTGCAGGAATGCCTGGGGCATGACTGGGCCATCCCAGTGTTCTTATTTCTATACATTCCGAGGTTACCCCTCAGCAAAACGCCAGAGGCTGGCAGACACAGCGGAGCATCCTGCAGTAGGGATCCGAAGCCGTGGAATCTCCAAAGGACCACTTGACCGCGTCCCAGAAGCTCCAGCTCAGGCTGGACATTGCCCAGAAAGCCCACATCGTCTTTGGCAAGACCTCCCGGATTGTGGTTTTGATTTGCATTTCTCTGATGGCCAGTGATGATGAACATTTTTTCATGTGTCTGTTGGCTGCATAAATGTCTTCTTTTGAGAAGTGTCTGTTCATATCCTTCGCCCACTTTTTGATGGGATTGTTTGATTTTTTCTGGTACATTTGTTTAAGTTCTTTGTAGATTCTGGATATTAGCCCTTTGTCAGATGGGTAGATTGCAAAATTTTTCTGCCATTCTGTAAGTTGCCTGTTCACTCTGATGGTAGTTTCTTTTGCTGTGCAGAAGGTCTTTAGTTTAGTTAGATCCCATTTGTCAATTTTGGCTTTTGTTGCCATTGTTTTTGGTGATTTAGACATGAAGTCCTTGCCCATGCCTATGTTCTGAATGGTATTGCCTAGGTTTTCTTCTAGGGTTTTTATGGTTTTAGGTCTAACATTTAAGTCTTTAATCCATCTTGAAAAGTTAATAATAATAAAAATAATAATATGGAAGAAATTTAAAAAAAACCTCCCAGAGACCAGGAACTTGGGGCGCGCGGCCTGAGATCACCCCAAGCTCTGGGTGCCTTCCTGTCCTTCTGCTTCTTCCTTGGCCGCTTTAGGGGGCGCGCCTTGCCATGCGTCTCCCTGCGGGCGGCGCGGTGGTGCTCCTGGATGTCACCTCCAGGCGCTTTTGAGACTGCGACCGGCACTGGGCACCAGGCACCTGCGGATTGGCCTCCCCACGCCGGGTTCAGGGACCTCCAGCGCTCCGCGGTGCAGGCTGCAGGCGACCTCAACGTGGAGCTGCTGCCAGCGCCACAGGCCCCAGGGGAGGCCCAGGATGCTGCTTCCCCGCCCCAAGAAGGGCAGTTTGGAGGAAAGTCTTTGGCCTGATGGAAGGCGGCGCCCATCGGGGGCGGGGCTGAGAACTAGGCCGGCGCCGCTGCCTGGTAAGCGGGGACCAAGAGGCCCACGGCCTCCATCAGGAACCAGGTGCTTCTCCAAATCCCGGACGTCCAGGAGGAACAACGGCGTCAAGCTGGCTGACACCAGGAACACCCAGAAGTCCCCGCTCCTGTCTGTCCTTCCGCACTCAGGAGCGGGGATGGCCACAGGGACACCATCTGCCCACAAACCGCTGGCGTTTGCTGCCATGGTGCGCGGAGATGCGGTCCCCGAGGAGGCCACTTTCGGCCAGGACGCCGGGATCGTATCAGCGGCAGCATCCCGCGCTGACACTCAGTATTGACTTTCCCCGGACATTGCTGGATTTTTTCCTTTTTAAAACAATTTTGCAGTGGGAGAACAAAAAAGGGCATCCTCAGAGCTTTTACAAAATTCTCCTGGACCTGTTGTTCTATGGTGTTCACCTCTGCGTTTTACGCACCACTAATGGGCCAGAGCTCCTAAGGCCTATAAAGGCCCCACCCAGCGCTTTAGACACCCCTGAGGGACACTCGCGGCTCAGGAGGATAAATGTTCTCAGGGGCCTGCTGTGAGGAGGACATGCAGCCCCTCAGCCACCACATCTTCCTCCATTCCAGCCTGGAAAGAGAGACCTTGCCCTCCACCTTACAGGCCTTCCTGACCTTGGGACCCACTCTAGAGGCCACGCGCATTTCCACTGCCAAAGCAATGACACAGGAGATGGAAAGAAATTCTTGGCCAGGCGCGGTGGCTCACGCCTGTAGTCCCAGCACTTTGGGAGGCCAAGGCGGGCAGATCACGAGGTCAGGAGATCGAGACCATCCTGGCTAGCAAGGTGAAACCCCGTCTGTATTAAAAACACCCAAAAGGTGGCCGGGCTTGGTGGCGGGCTCCTGTAGTCCCAGCTACTCGGGAGGCTGAGGCGGGAGAGTGGCGTGAACCCGGGAGGCGGAGCTTACAGTGAGCCGAGATTGCACCACTGCAGTCCAGCCTGGGGGACAGAGCGAGACTACGCCTCAGGAAAAAAAAAATTATTTTGCCTTCACTATATGCCTAAGTAATTTCTCTATTAGAGCCCAGAGTCATGGGGCCCACACCGCCAGCTGACACATGAAAGTGTGGCAACGATGTGGTGGTGTCTCTGTGTGGCAGCGTGGTGGTGTGTCTGTGTGGTGGTGTGTCCGCATTTCTGTGTGGTGGTGTGTCCGTGTGGCAGAGTGTCTGTGTGGTGCTATGTCCATGTGGTGGTGTGTTCATGTATCTGCATGGTGATGTCTCCGTGTGACAGTGTGTTTGTGTATCCGTGTGACAGTGTCTGTGTGTCCTTGTTTCCACATGGCAGTGTCTGTGTGGTGGTGTCTGACAGTGTGGAGGTGTGTCCATGTGACAGTGAGGCGGTGTGTGTGTGTGTGGCAGTGTCCATGTGGCAGTGTGTTTTTGTGTTCGTGTGAGTGTGATGGTGTGTCCATGTGACAGTGTAGTGATGTCTCTTGTGTGTGTCCCTGTGATAGTGTGGTGGTGTGTCCATGTGGTGACGTCTCCGTGTGTCTGTGTGTCCCTGTGATAGTGTGGTGGTGTGTCCGTGTGGATTTCTCCGTATGTCTGTGTGTCCGTCCATGTGAATGTGCCAGTGTGTCCATGTGACGGTGTCTCCGTGTGGTAATGTCTCCGTGTGTCTGTACATGTGACAGTGTGGTGGTGTGTGCGTGTAACAATGTGGCGGTGTTCCCTTCCCGGCTTGCGGAGCTGGCGTCTTTCCCTCTCAGCCCAGGACGCCCCAGGAGACCCCCAGCTTGGAGGGCAGGAGGTGGCTTCTGTGGAGGGAGGCGCAGGGAGCCCCAACAGCCGAGTTTTGGGGTCCCCTGCATTGGGTGGGAGTGAGGAGAAAGGTGCCCGGGCAGCCAGGACAAGCCTGGGCCTGCCCTAAGGAGGTGACCCACTCCGGGCCTGCATTTTGGGGCGAGCACTCCAGCTCGGTCATCTTGTCCTAAGTCCTTTGTGTGCCGTGGAGATTGCTGAGTTTTGAAGAAGGGAAGGTCATCTTTGTCGCGGAAAGCCTGATGTGTTTCTCTATTGCTGTCACTTTTCAGCCTCATGGCTGGCGAAACATCAAACATTGGGCACCTTCTGCCAAGAAAACTCCCGGAAGAAAATGTGGGGACTGGCAGTATCCAACCAGAGGAGTCACACACAGATTTCTGTTTGGTTGGAGATCGGCCGTTTTTCCCTGTGGGTGGGGGAAGCGCAGCAGCTCTGCAGCGGGAAGGAAGGGGGGTTCTGTGTGGCCAGGAAGGTCCTGGCCCGGGGCGGAGGGGCCAGAGGTGATGTGCGGCGAAAGGCTGTGCAGGGCAGCGGGCAGTGTGCATCGCCCCTACTGCCGGGCGCCCAGGAGGAGGACAGGTCCCGGCCTGGCAGGAGCAGAGGCGACGGGGCTGGAGTCCCCGCACCAGGCTTGAGGGCCGGCGGAGCCGCAGGCTGTGGCGGAGGGGGACTCCCGGGCACCTGGTGGGTGTCCCCATGACCAGGATGCACACCGGGCTCCGGAGGCCAGGCGGACCAAGCTAGGGGTGCCAGGGGAGGCTCGAGGTTCCCTCGGTGGGAGGTGGGTCCCTGGACCCTGGTCTCCTGCTGCTGTCCCCCCTTCGCTCAGGGGCGCCCCGCCAGGGTCGCCTATCTGGGACCTCAGCGCAGCTCCTAGTGGGCGGGAGGCTGAGGCAGAGGCCTCCGGGCCCAGCTGGGTCTGCAGTTTCCACCACTCGTGATGCAGGGCGAGCTCAAGCTGTGCCACCCAGGCAGGAAACCCTCCGACCTTGCCAGCTTTGGCGCCAGCCTTGGTGACTCTCTCCAGCTCAGCTTCAACACCTTTCAACAGTTCTGTGTTCTCTATTATCACAAGAATTCTTTCTGTATTTCCTATCCTTTATCAAATAGGAATTTAAATATGCATATGGAGTGATTATCACAGTTGAAACATTAAACAATATACAATTTCATGTGTCTTTTTTGTTTAATGTATAATTTTCTAAGAAGTAAAATTATGACTCTACTGCAAATATAAGATAAACACATATCAACAATGTTTTTCAACTCAATAAGCGATGAGGGTTCCAGTAACAGGTTCAAATCATTGCAAGGAACATTAAAGGAGCTTTACAGCCAATGTTAACGTCAGATCGCTGGGTACTTACAGTACTGGTTAGTATCCAACATAGCCAGAAGCTGTCATCTTTGTGAGTTCTCTCTTCCATGGCACAGAAATGATGCGTTTTTCTACTGTACAAAATATTTATCTTTTCTACTACTTCTGCACATAAAAATATTGCTAGTCAGAAAAGACCAGAATTGCACTGAAAGAAAATCTCAGTAATATCTCTCACCTGTATTCTTACTTTTTCTTCCTTTATGAAATATCTTTCAACTGCATTTTCTATCTGAAAGTTTATAGAGAGATGAAAATGAATAAAAGCATAGTAAGTGAATATTTTGATAACATTTTGCAGCTTTATTCATGTCTAACGAACATAAAACACACTTCCAATATTTAAAGTGTAAATGAGATGAATTTGATATGTACATGTGCCCATTAATCACCATGAAGGGGACAATGAGCATATCCAATACTCTCAAAGCTTCCCAGTTCTCTTTTGTAATGCACACTCATACCTCTCAGGTGTGAAGTATTGAGCTTCACACACACACACACACAAATATATACTGGGATATCTAATTGTTTCAGAAGCATTTGTTGAAAATGTTATGTCCATGAATGGTCTAAGAACTTTATCAAAAATTAGCTGATAGATGATATACATGTGTATATCTATATTTGTACTACATTGTCTTAAGTATTACTGTAATGTTATAAGTCTTGAATCCAGGTGCTGTTAATTCTCCAGCAGCACCTGGTTTCAAAGTAACTGTTTCCTTTCAAAGTAATTTGCCATTATAGGTCCTCTACCCATCGATGTACATTTCAGAATTTTAGTTTCTCAATTTCTAAAATAAGAAATCCAGCTGTGATTTGATTGGAATTGTTATAGATCAATGTGGAAAGAGTAGACATCTTAACAATATTGAGATTTATGACTCATAAATTCCATTTATTTAGGTCTCGTTTATTTTAGCAATATTTTGTAGTTTTGTAGTTTTCAAATGTTTCTCTTTTTTGCTGGTTTATCTCTAAGTACTACATATTTTGATATTTACAATAATATCAAAATTATGGTAATATTAATGCAAATGTTGTTTTATTTTTTCCTCCATTAATTGTCAGGTAGTTTTAAATCATAATTTAATTGTATGATAAAACTGAATTTTGCGAGAAATGTATACATATTGTATATATACTTTTTTTCAGTTTGGCAGATTGACTGCATTATCATATCATAATTTAAAATTGCACTAATTACCACTCAGCCTCCTCTCAAGGACAATATATCAAAATATATAGCATGTTTCAGTTTACTTAGCATCATGAAACTCTCATATTGCACTTACTTTTGGAAACCTGGAATAATAAAATAATGTAAATGTCAGTTCACAGGCGACATATGAGTACATGCGACAATTTTCTAAATATCGACCTATCGCTCTTTAATTCTATGTTAATATTGTCAATTTTTTCCTCCTCTTGCAACTCTCTTATGCAGCTTATTGACTTTTGGTTCAATTCCTTCCCTGTTTTCCCCCCAATCTACTTTCTAATATTTTACTGATGTTGTGCTCCTTTTTATTTGGACACTTTTAAAAAGCTGTGTAATTTCTCCTTTGTATTAAAATGCAAATCCATATCCAAAATAAATGAGCGGAGGGACCAAAAAGATGTTTGTGCAGCGTGTCCGTTAGCAATATTATTCACAATAATCAAAGGGAGGGAGCAGCCCATGTGAATATTGATGGATGAGTGGTTAAACAAAATGTGGTATATACGGCAACATAATAATATTCAGCCTTAAAATATATTCTCACACATGCTACAAAATAGATGAAACTTGAAGACATGCTAAGTGAAATAAGCCAGTCAGAAAAATTCAAACATTCTATCATGCCACTTCTATGAGTTACTTAGTGAAATTTGTAGAGACAGAAAGTAGAATGGTGATTGCTAGGGGGAAGGAGAGGGAGAGGAATGGGAAGTTGGTGTTCAATGAGTAAAGCATTTTAGTTGGAGAAGAAGACAAGTTTTGGAGGTCTATGGTGGTGACTGTTGCACAATAGTGCAAATATACTTAATGCCACAAAACTGTGCACTTAAAGTGATTAAAAAGGTAAATTTTATGTTGTGTATATCTTTCCAGAATTATAAACCTGCCATCACAGTATAGAAATAGAATATATTATATAGCGTTAGGTGATGATATTTTACACATTTGCACATAATTAGAATTTCAAAGCCTTAATTTCAGATACGGTAGTCTAAGACATAACAATATTGATGTAAGAAAGCCGTAAGAAATGTTTATTTTCAATCAGATTTACTAAAAAAATTTATTGAACTGGTCAATTTTCTTTGCCAATATTACTGTATTCTTATTTCTAGTAATAGAGGTGTGAGAAAGCATCAAGGAAACTAAAATTGCATTCTCATACTGACTGCATACAATAATTCTGAAAACAGCAGAAGTTATGTATATCCCCCATAAGTAAAACATGAGTAACACAACAGAACAAAAATTAATAGGAGACAATTCAAACAATGGTGACCTGTTATTCTTATCTAGTTAAGTACTATTCTTTTCTAACAGGAATTTGCTATTTCAAATATATTATCTGAGATGTCTATATTTATATTTTGAGATGCCATACAAACTTGAGTCAATGACATAGAATTTTACAAATCAAGAAGCTTATTCTGGGGTCATTTCTTTTGACATTAAACTACTAAAGAGGCATTAATGATCCATAAATTATATTATCTACATTTACAGCATTTAAAATGTGTTCAGCATGAAATATTAGTTACAGGATAAGTGAAATAAATTAAACATGGAATAAAGATTTATCCTTAAATATAAATTACAAGAAGACTTGGTATTAGTTTTTCACAAGTGAAGCATTCTTATAAAATGTCATAACCTTTTTGGGGAAACTCTGGGAAAAATGGAGAAACTCTGAAGGGTTTTAAGTATCTTTCCTGAAGCTACAGACTCCATAATCTCTCTTTACAGGGAGCTCCTGCAGCTCCAACAGAAATGAGTGGCTGAGATTCCTGGTTGCAGAGCAGAGCTTCTCATCCAAACCCTTTCCCTTTTTAGTGTCTGTGTATCAGTATAAAAGTTCTATAAACTGTAGTTACTTATTTTAATCCCAAAGCACAGTAACAATATATTTCATCCAAGGGTTGGCAGTTTCTGTGAGTGTTTTGTCTAATTCTCCAAAACTCTATCTACAGGATTCCAAACAGCCTAAAAAGTAAAATATTTTAAAAAGGGGAAAGGGAGAAAGGGAAAGAAAATAAAATTAATAGCCCATTCTGTCACTGTTATTAAACACCAGAATACCTTTCTGTTAATCTAATTAAAATTAGTGACATCATTTAACATTTATGTCTTCAACAAAAGTTTGGAATCCTGAAAAAGACATTTAATTTCCTAATAAATATATTTGAATTGAATTGAAATCCTTACATATTACTTTAAATAAAGAACACAAGATGATTTATGATGTAGAAAATTCTATCCCTCATTGTCCAAAATCTAATAGTTAAATTGAACTTGTTAAATAATATTTTTGGCCAGGCATGTGGCTTACATCTGGAATCCCAATACTTTGGGAGGCAAAGGCAGGTGGATTGCTTGAGCTGAGTAGTTGCAGACCAGGCTCGGCAACATGGTGAAACCCAATCTTTACCAAAAAAAAAAAAAAATTTTAGCCAGGCGTAGTGGATTGCCTGCCTGTAGTCCCAGCTACTCAGGAGGATGAGGTGGGAGGATCACCGGAGCCTGGGGAAGCTGGGGCTGCAGTGAGCCATGATTGTGCCACTGCACTCCAGCTTGGGCAACAGACTGAGACCCTGTCTCAAAGAAAGACAGAAAGAAAGACAAGAAAGACAAGAAAGACAAGAAAGACAAGAAAGAAAAGAAAGAAAGAAAGAAAGAAAGAAAAGAAAGAAAGAAAGAAAGATAAAGAGAGAAAGGAAGGAAGGAAAATTAATAGTTTTGGTGGCAATAATCTTTATGGAATTTTGCTTTAATGAAATAGATTTAACTAAGTAGTGACATGATCTGCTTAAGTGTATTGACCCTAGCAATCAGAGGCCTCCGTATCCCCACAATGACTTAACAGTTACATTTGACAAGCCTTGATTCTCCTATCCTACGCACAGCATAGTCAGAATTTCAGAATTCCAACTTTCCCCATGCTATTTGGGCACGTTGCTTAACATCTCTAAGACTCGATATTTATACTCTTAAGATACTACTAATAATAGTACCTAGTTTTTATGATATAATGTGCATCAAAAGCATTATACTTTCAGGCAGATGGCAATTCCTCAATAAATATTTGCTAATGTTTTAGTACAAACAGGAAAATTGGATTATGATATTTATGACACTGTTGATTCTCCTTCTAGAAACATTTGTTTCTAAAACTTGTTTTCAAATTAGAGCACTATTTTGTATTCAGATTGAAAATACTATATGTTCAGATTTTTTAAAAAACAGTATTGCATGAATGTTTTAATTAAAATATTCCTAAATGAGCTTGAGCAAGGAGGACAGGGGAGATAAGTAAAATAAGGCTTTGTGGCATAGGAGACATTTGGTGGAAATCTTTCAGCTCAACTAAGATTTGAAAAAAAAAGAGAATTTTTATAAAAAATGTAAAGGCAGGATTTACACTGATGAGCTTGTGGAGAAAATACAGAGTCTAACATAATTCAAAAGAGACTAATCAGTCAAAGTGGTTTTGAAGGAATATCTTGAAGAGAGAGAACATAAAATGAAGATCAGGTATGTAGTTATTTTAATAATCTATCCATGAGATAAAAAGCATTGGGTTTTATTTGTCAAAATGGGACAATAGTTCCAAGAACCATTATTTGCTCAGCCTAAAGAGGTTTTTACATTTTGAACCAGCGACATATTGTGCTAAGTAGGATAATATCCAAATTTGTGTCTATATCAATAATTTTGTTCTCAATTAAAAACACTTTATTCACACAACTGATGATTATCTGCATTTGATTTAGTGCTGAACTGTCAAAGGGGGACTAACAAAAACAAAATATTAGAGTTGCAAGCAGTGTAAGTGGAAAATAATGATCATATTGAACTCATCATTACTGAAATAAGAAAACAAAGCAAAAAATAAATAAGAAAAAAATTGACTACGTGAACATTTGCTTCTCTCCTAAGAATCAAAACCCTTAATTTGCTGTGGCAAAAAAGCATCTGGGTCCATGAACCCATGCAAAAGTCTACTGTTTCTGGGAGATAAGAAGAAGCAAAACACATCAGCTTCCAGAGAAGGTTAAGAAACCTCTCATACCCTACCCTACCCCACCTGACACCAGGCAAAGGATCACTGCTTCTGGGAGAGGGATGCAAGAAAAATACTCCTCCATCAGGAGAGGAACAAGGATTGTTTTGGGGCCCAGGATTTTGCACTAATGCAGAGTCGTGCTACTGTGGTAAAGGTTTGGAAAGTCTCCATCCAGTGACCACAGACAAAGGTACATTGTTCCTATGGAAGGAGAAATAAAAGAGTTTGCCCTTATTGTGGGGTTGAAAACTTGCAATGATATAAATCAGGGGTTTTCTACTACTGAGGTGGGAGGAGGGTAAGGTATTATTTCTTCTGCAAAAAACAACACAGGTAAGTGACAGTTTGACTCCCACTAGAAAAAGAGTCAAGAAGTGTTAAAAATACCCCATCTCTGAGTGTCCAATGATGAAACTGGCTCAAAAACAACACAAACCATCCCTCTGTCCCCAACCTGAATTTTTTGCCTAGTCACACACACACACACACAAAATGATGTTCTACAGTTAGAGAAGAACAAGAAAGTGGAGAGAGACCCTCTCTATAACATAGGTTGTAAGGACTACCGAAAGCTAACTGTGGAACAGGATCATTGGCATATGCTCTCCAGAGTCTAAGGCCCCACACAAGGCACATCATATAGCAGTCTACTGCTGGAGAAATCTGAGTTACATTGTTCACTGAATGTTTCAGACACCGCAGCAAAAAGCAACCTTTGTTCCTGCCCACACTAATAGCACGACACAAACAAAAATGAAACAGAAATATAAAACAATCTCGACATAAATAATTATCTCATGATCTACTGTTTTTCTACATCAGATGATTTGCATTTTTTAGAAATTGGGAGACACATAAAAGCAAGTTAGAAATTTGAGTTATGAGTTATAATATTTTCAAAGGATAAAAAGTCAACAGAATCAAATTCAGAGATAATTCAGATGTTGGAACTAAATGAAAGTAATTTAAAATAATAATGATCAAAATGTTAAAGGATCTAGTTAAAAAAAGACAACATGTATGGAAAAATGAGGAATTTCAGCAAAGATGGGAACAGTAAAAGGCAAAATCTAGAAATAAGTGAAAGCATGAGAACAGAGATGAAGTATTACATCAGCAAGCTGATTAGCAGACTGGTCATCAGAGTTAAAGAAAGAAGCAGTAAATTTTATACTAGGTCAATACAAATCATTTGAATGGTAGCACAAAGGGAGGAAAGAGAAAAACCAAATAAACCAATGAACCAAGCAAATAAAATACTCCAGTGAATCAAAGAATTTTCTGGTAATATGAAATTAACCAAAATACAATTAATTGGAATTACAGAAGGAGAGTAAAAACAGAATGTGAGAGAAGAAAAATTTGAAAAAGATGACTGAGGAGACCAAATAACCTCAAAATATACAAGAAAGATTAATACAAAATTTAAAGAACGCTAGAATAATCACACTAGTGAAACTGCTGAAAACCAACGATTAGCATAAATCTTGAATTCAGTCACAGAAAAAATAAGAACACTGTGTAGAGAGATAAACAGAAACAAACATTGTAATGAACTGCTTGTCAGTAACTCTACAAGTCAGAAACCAATGATACAAAATTCTTAAATAACTGAAGAAAAGTCAACCCCCAATCTTATATCCATTAACTGTAATACAGCAAAAATAACAATTAAATGACATTTGCAGATTAACACTGGAAGAGTCCCTTGCTAACAGGTATGCACTAAAATAAATGTCAAAATCATTTCTTGAGGCAAAAGGAATATGGAAGCAGGTGAAAGTTGAAACTACACAAAGAAATAAATAATGCCAGAGAAGATATAAAGATATATAACCCAATTATTTTACATTGCTCTAAAGATAATTGATTGTCTAATTTTTTAAAAAAAGAGTAACTTTATATTATGGAATTCATAATATTTGAGACTATAATGCATGACATAAATAGTATAAAGGAGAGAGGAAACAGAAATATACATTTTAAGGTTTTTATACCATAGTTGGTATAGTACAAATTATAGGTTACTGTAATAAGCTAGAATAGGTATTGAAATCTCTAGAGAAACCATGAACATTTTTAAAAAATGGTATGTGCATTAATGTTTTCATAGAACTTCCAGCTTTTATTTATTTGTTTGTATTCATTTAATTTTATTTATTTTTTTTGAGATGGAGTCTCGCCCTGTTGCCCAGGCTGCAGTGCAATGGTGTGATCTCAGCTCACTGCAACCACCTCCGCCTCCCAGGTTCCAATGATTCTCCTGCCTCAGCCTCCTGAGTAGCTGGGATTACAGGTGCCCACCACCATGCCCAGCTAATTTTTGTATTTTTAGTAGAGACGGGGTTTCACCATGTTGGCCAGGCTTGTCTCAAACTCCTGGCCTCATGATCGGCCCACCTCAGCTTCCCAAAGTGCTGGGATTACAGACTTGAGACACCGTGCCAGGCCCCAGCTTTTAGTTTTTAAGGTAGTTGTTGTGTTATTACATGTGAAGTAAGGTTATTCTTAAATATCCATGTTTTGAGAATTAATGATAATGACAAGTTAATTTATCTCAATCTAAATGATTTTAATATTAAATATTTAAATATTTTTATTACTTTTCCTTTTTAACAGAAGTCATTCTAACTGGTGTGAGATGGTATTTCACTGATGTTTTGTTTTGCATTTCTCTGATGATTAGTGATGGTATGCATGTGTTAATATGTTTGTTGGCCACATATGTGTTCTTCTGAAAACTGTTCACGTTCTTTGCCCATTTTTTAATGGGGTTATTTATTTTTTGCTCGTTGATTTGCCTAAGTCTCTTATGGCTTCTGGATAATAGGCCTTTGCTGTATGCATAGTGTGTGAATATTTTCTTCCACTCGGTAGGCTGTCTGTTCAATCCCTTGAGAGTTTCTCATGCTGTGCAGAAGAAGCTCTTTAGTTTAATTAAATCATACTTGTCAATTTTTATTTTTCTGGCAATTGCTTTTGAGGACTTACCCATAAATTCATTGCCAAGTGCAATGTCCAGGTGAATATTTCCTAGGTTTTCTTCCAGGATTTTTATAGGCAGAGGATGTAATCTCATGTCAATGGGTCTTAATAATCAAATGACTCCACACTGAGAATCATTACTGTGAAAAATCGATTTTGTTATAATGATAGAAATTTAAACATATAAAAGTAAAAACAGATGCCACCTCTTTGCTAGAACTCTACAAGGCAAATTACTATAAGAGAGCCATTGCAGTGAAATAAGTGAAAGCACATTATAAATAAACTTACCTGATTTTACAAACTAACCTGTAAAGGGATTTGTACTAATTTTTCCATTGCCTGCATTGCCCTTTCTTCTAGATCCAATTTATATTTTTGTACTTCACCAATGTGTCTTCACCAATGTGTACTTTCCATACGTTTTTTAAGATTTAATATTACTTTTTCCAACATCTTTTTAGCCTCCTCAAGATTTTTACATTCCTGTTGTATTTTTTCATACATAATAACTCCTGTTGAATACCTTGATTGTTTTGAGTCAAACAGACATATTTTGAAGATACAGCTTCCAGCTCTGCTGTAAGATCATCAAACTACATTAATAAAATAATATAACTTGAAAATGAAGTAGGCTGAGAATAATCTCATACAAAACCAGTAACAAATTTTGAAATACATTTACTTGCAATAAAATGTTATCTATAATGTAGATTCTTTAAATGTTAACCCTTAAATTACTCAGAAATTCAAGAACAAAGTAAAAGCCACCATAAGTCACATATATTCTTTACTATCATCTTTGCCACAGAACTTTTGCACTTGATCTTTCTTTTACTTTTCTGATAATTTGTGTTTTTTCCTCCTTAAATGGCTCTATGTTAACTCTTATTAGAAAGTTTCAAACCCCTTTCTCTCATCATCGTGCCCCAAAATTTGTCAAAAAAAGTTTCAGAGATATAATATTGAGTTATTTAGGCCAAAGTCAATAAATGGCTCTTAGAATAAGACTTTGAAAATAATGTAATACTCTATGCTAGGCATGGTGGCTCATGCCTGTAATCCCAGCACTATAGGAGGCTGTGGCAGAAAGATTACTTGAGGCCAGGAATTTGAAACCAGCCAGAGCAACATAGTGATAACATAATCTCGACAAAAAATTTTATTTAAAATTAACCAGGCATGGTGACTTATGCTTGTAGATCCAACTAGTTGGGAGACTAAGGCACAAGGATGGCTTGGACTCAGAGTTCATGGCTGCAGTGAATTATGACCAAGCCACTCCACTTCTGCCTGGATGACAGACAGAGACCATATCTCAAAAAAACACAAAATAATCCTATAAATAAGGATTCTAATGCCATAAGCCTTTCCCTAGGCTGTAAATGTTTTATGCTAATTTGAATTGCATTTTTAAAAGTAATGACTCTTGGGGTAGAGGCCATAGAATACAGCACCCAGATATAAATCCACATATTTGCCTTACAAGAAATAAATCCACATTCTTGCCTTACAAGAGCTCCTGAAGGAAGCACTAAACATGGAAAGGGACAAACAGTATGAGCCACTGGGAAAACATACCAAATTGTAACGACCATCGACACTATAAAGAAACTGCATTAACTAATGGGAAAAATAAACAGCTAACAACATCATGACAGGATAAATTTCACATGTAACAATATTAACCTTAAATGTAACTGGGCTAAATGCCCCAGTAAAAAGACACAGACTGGCAAGTTGGAAAAAGACTCAAGACCCATTGGTGTGCTGTATTCAGGAGACCCATCTCACATGCAAAGACACACACAGGCTCAAAATAAAGGGACGGAGGAATATTTACCAAGCAAATGAAAAGCAAAAAAAAAAAAAAAAAAAAAAAAAAGCAGGGGTTGCAATCCTAGTCTCCGATAAAACAGACTTTAAATGGAAAAGATCAAAAGAGACAAAGGGCATTACAAAGCAGTGCCATCTGCTTTTCCTCAGGACTCTGCTCCATCAGCCATCAGGTGGCAGCCATTCAGGCTGTTGGAACCTGGCCATCCATGCTTCTTTGAGTGGGTGAGATTAAAGGCTGGTCCAACTGCACCAGGAGCATGCTTGCAGAGGTGGCTGCTTGCTCTTTGAGCCAGCTTGGCTTTGCCTGGCATGCACAGGCCCCAGCTACTGACAAGCTGCTCTGAGTGAGCTTGTCCTGCCTGGGGCCAAATTCTAAGTCTGGCCAGGGCCACAGAAGGGCAAGTCCCCTGGGTGGTAATCCTGACTTTTTTCTGCACTTGAACATAAAGTCCTCCTCAAGACGGCCTGTGGTCTGCCTCTTGGCAACCAAGAAGCCTGCAGTGCCATATAAGCTCGGAGGCATGGACTAGAGCCCCAAAGGCAGTGAACACCCTGCTCCTGAGCCTGCTGCTCATTTCCTCTGTGTGGCTCCATTTGTAGCACAGTTGTTGTACTGAGGCTTGTGCATGCTGGGCAAGGACAAGCTGGCTCAAAGAGGAACCAGCCACTTCTGCAAGGGTGTGCCAGGAGCAGGTAGACCAGCCACCAACCTCACTCACTGCCTGCCAGACATGGCACATCAGTTCTTCTACCCTAGAGGTAGGGCCCCAGTGCCATCTGCTTTTTCTGAGGCCTCTGCTCCATCAGCCATCAGGTGGCAGCCACACAGGCTGTGGGAACCTGCCTATCCTTGCTTCCTTGAGTAGCAGAGGTTGGTGGCTGCTCTACCTGCTCCCGGTGCACCCCTGCAAAGGTGGCTGGTTGCTCTTTGAGCCAGCTTGGCCTTGCCTGGCATGCAGAGGCCCCAGCTACTGACATGCTCCTCTGAGTGAGCTTGTCCTGCCTTGGCCCAAATTCTAAGTCTGGTCAGGTCCACAGAAGGCAGAGTCCCCTGGGTGGTAATGCTGGCTGCTTTCTGCATTTGAACACAAAGTCCTCCTCCAGACGACCTGTGGTCTGCCCCTTGGCAATGAAGAAGCCCGCAGTGCCATATGAGCCCTGAGGCATGGACTGGAGCCCCAAAGGCAGTGCACACCGTGCTCCTGATCCTGCTGCTCATTTCCTCTCTGTGGCTCCATTTGTAGCACAGTTGTTGCACTGAGGCTTGTGCATGCCGAGCGAAGCCAAGCTGGCTCAAAGAGGAACCAGCCACCTCTGCAAGGGTGTGCCAGGAGCCGGTGGAGCAGACACTAAACTCACTCGCTGCCGGTTGGGGCACATCAGTTCTTCTCCCATAGAGGTCGGGCCCCAGTGCCATCTGCTTTTCCTCAGGCCTCTGCTCCATCAGTCTCCAGGTGGCAGCCACTCAGACTGTTGGAACCTGGCCATCCATGCTTCCTTGTGTGGGTCAGTTTGATGGCTGCTACATCTGCTCCAGGCACACCCTTGCAGAGGTGGCTGGTTGCTCTTTGAGACAGCTTGGCCTTGCCTGGCATGCACAGGCTCCAGCTACCGATACGCTGCTCTGAGTGAGCTTGTCCTGCATTAGGCAAAATTCTAAGTCCGGTCAGGGCCACAGAAGGCAGAGTCCCCTGGGTGGTAATCCTGGCTGCTTTCTGCACTTGAACATAAAGTCCTCCTCAAGATGGCCTGTGGTCTGCCTCTTTGCAACCAAGAAGCCCACAGAGCCATACTAGCCCGGAGGCATTGACTGGAGCCCCAAATGCAGCACACACCCTGCTCCTGAGCCTGCTGCTCTGTTTTCTCTGTGTGGCCCCATTTGTAGCACAGTTGTTGTACTGAGGCTTGTGCATGCTGGGCAAGGCCAAGCTGGCGCAAAGAGAAACCAGCCACCTCTGCAAGGGTGTGCCAGGAGCAGGAGGACCAGCCACCAACCTCGCTCACAGCTGGTCGGTGTACATCACTTCTTCTACCCAAGAGGTAGAGCCCCAGTGCCATCTGCTTTTCCTCAGGCCTCTGCTCCATCAGCCATCAGGACGCAGACATGCAGGCTGTGGGAACCTGGCCATCCCTACTTCCTTGAGTGGGTGAGGTTGGTGGCTGCTCCACCTGCTCCAGGTGCACCCTTGCAGAGGTGGCTGGTTGCTCTTCGAGCCACCTTGGCCTTGCCTGGCATGCACAGGACCCAGCTACTGATACACTGCTCCGAGTGAGCTTGCCCTGCCTGGGGCCAAATTCTAAGTCTGGCCAGGGCCACAGAAGGCAGAGCCCCTGGGTGGTAATACTGGCTGCTTTCTGCATTTGAACATAAAGTCCTCCTCAAGATGGCCTGTGGTCTGCATCTTGGCAACGAAGAAGCCCACAGTGCCACACGAGCCCTGAGGCATGGACTGGAGCCCCAAAGGCAGCGCACACCCTGCTCCTGAGCCTGCTGCTCGTTTCCTCTATGTGGCTCCATATGTAGCACAGTTGTCGCACTGAGGCTTGTGCATGCCAGGCAAGGCCAAGCTGGCTCGAAGAGTAACCAGCCACCTCTGCAAGGGTGTGCCAGGAGCAGATGGACCAGCCACCAACCTCACTCACTGCCGGTCAGGGTACATCACTTCTTCTACCCTAGATGTAGGGTCCCAGTGCCATCTGCTTTTCCTCAGGCCTCTGCTCCATCAGCCATCAGGAGGCAGCCACTCAGGTTGTTGGAATCTGGCCATCCCTGCTTCCTTGAGTGGGTGATGTTGGTGGCTGCTCCACCTGCTCCTGGAGCACCCTTGCAGAGGTGGCTTGTTGCTCTTTGAGACAGCTTGGCCATGCCTTTCATGCACAGGCTCCAGCTACTGACACGCTGCTCTGAGTGTGCTTGTCCTGAGTTAGGCCAAATTCTAAGTCCGGTCAGGGCCACAGAAGGCAGAGTCCCCTGGGTGGTAATCCTGGCTGCTTTCTGCACTTGAACATAAAGTCCTCCTCAAGATGGCCTGTGGTCTGCCTCTTTGCAACCAAGAAGCCCACAGAGCCATACTAGCCCGGAGGCATTGACTGGAGCCCCAAATGCAGCACACACCCTGCTCCTGAGCCTGCTGCTCTGTTTTCTCTGTGTGGCTCCATTTGTAGCACAGCTGTTGCACTGAGGCTTGTGCATGCTGGGCAAGGCCAAGCTGGCGCAAAGAGAAACCAGCCACCTCTGCAAGGGTGTGCCAGGAGCAGGTGGACCAGCCACCAACCTCACTCACAGCTGGTCGGTGTACATCACTTCTTCTACCCAAGAGGTAGAGCCCCAATGCCATCTGCTTTTCCTCAGGCCTCTGCTCCATCAGCCATCAGGATGCAGCCATGCAGGCTGTGGGAACCTGGCCATCCCTACTTCCTTGAGTGGGTGAGGTTGGTGGCTGCTCCACCTGCTCCAGGTGCACCCTTGCAGAGGTGGCTGGTTGCTCTTTGAGCCAGCTTGGCCTTGCCTGGCATACACAGGCCCCAGCTACCGACATGCTGCTCTGAGTGAGCTTGTTCTGCTTTGGCCCAAATTTTATCTCTGTCCAGGGCAGAGTCCCCTGGGTGGTAATCCTGCCTACTTTCTGCACTTGAATATCAAGTCCTCCTCAGGATGGCCTGTGGTCTGCCTCTTTGCAACGAAGAAGCCCGCAGTGCCACACGAGCCCTGAGGCATGGACTGGAGCCCCAAAGGCAGCACACACCCTGCTCCTGAGCCTGCTGCTCATTTCCTCTCTGTGACTCCATACCTAGCACAGATGTTGCACTGAGGCTTGTGTATGCCAGGCAAGGCCAAGCTGGCTCAAAGAGCAACCAGCCACCTCTGCAAGCGTGTGCCAGGAGCCGGTGGAGCAGCCACCAAACTCACTTGTTGCAGGTCAGGGCACATCAGTTCTTCTACCCTAGAGGTAGGGCCCCAGTGCCATCCGCTTTTCCTCAGGCCTTTGCTCCATCAGCCATCAGGAGGCAGCCATTCAGGCTGTGGGAACTTGGCCATCCCTACTTCCTTGAGTAGCTGAGGTTGGTGGCTGCTCCACATGTCCCAGGTGCACCCTTGCAGAGGTGACTGGTTCCTATTTGAGTCAGCTTGGCCTTGCCTGGCATGCATAGTCTCCAGCTACTGACATGCTGCTGTGAGTGAGCTTGTCCTGCCTTGGCCCAAATTCTAAGTCTGGTCAGGGCCACAGAACGCCAAGTCCCCTGGGTGGTAATCCTGCTGCTTTCTATACTCGAACATAAAGTCCTCCTCAAGACAGCCTGTGGTCTGCCTCTTGGCAACCAAGAAGCCCGCAGTGACATATGAGCCCTGAGCCATGGACTGGAGCACCAAAGGCAGTGTACACCCTGCTCCTGAGCCTGCCTCTAATGTCCTCTGTGTGGTTCCATTTGTAGAACAGTTGTTGCACTGAGACTTGTGCATGCTGGGCAAGGCCAAGCTGGCTCAAAGAGCAACCAGCCACCTCTGCAAGGGTGCACCTGGAGCATGTGGACCAGCCACCAACCTCACTTGCTGCCAGACATGGTACCTCAGTTATTCTACCCTAAAGGTAGGGCCCCAGTGCCATCTGCTTTTCCTCAGGCCTCTGCTCCATCAGCCATCAGGTGGCAGCCACTCAGGCTGTGGGAACCTGGCCATCCCGGCTTTGTTGAGGGGGTGAGATTGGTGGCTGGTCCAACTGCTCTAGGCACACCCTTGCAGAGGTGGCTGGTTGCTCTTTGAGCCAGCTTGGCTTTGCCTGGCATGCACAGGCCCCAGGTACTGACACGCTACTCTGAGTGAGCGTGTCATGCCTGGGGCCAAATTCTAAGTCTGGCCAGGGTCACAAAAGGCTGAGTCCCCTAGGTTGTAATCCTGGCTGCTTTCTGCACTTGAACATAAAGTCCTCCACAAGATGGCCTGTGATCTGCCTCTTGGCAACCAAGAAGCCCACGGTGCCTTATGAGCCCTGAGGCATGGACTGGAGCCCCAAAGGCAGTGTACACCCTGCTCCTGAGCCTGCTGGTCATTTTCTGTGTGGCTCCATTTGTAGCACAGTTGTTGCACTGAGGCTTGTGAATGCCAGGCAAGGCCAAGCTGGCTCAAAGAGCAACCAGCCACCTCTGCAAGGATCCACCTGGAGCAGGTGGACCAGCCACCAACCTCACCCACTTAAGGAAGCAGGGAATGTGTGTTTGTACCATGCATTGCACTACAAGTACATTTCTCCTGAGTTTGGTGGCCTAGGTTTTCTTCTAGGTTTTCTATGGTTTTAGGTCTTAAGTTTAACTCTTCAATCCATCGTAAGTTAATTTTTGTATAAAGTGTAAGGAAGTGGCCCAGTTTCAGTTTTCTGCGTATGGCTAGCCAGTTTTCCTAACACCATTTATTGAATAAGGAATCCTTTCCCCATTGCTTGTTTTTGTCAGGTTTGTCAAAGATCAGATGGTTTTAGATGTGTTGTGTCATTTCTGAGGCCTCTGTTCTGTTCCATTTGTCTATATATCTGGTTTGGTACCAGTACCATGCTGTTTTGGTTACTGTAGCCTTGTAGAATAGTTTGAAGTCAGGTACCGTGATGCCTCCAGCTTTATTGTTTTTGCTTAGATTGTCTTGGCTACGCGAGCTCTTTTTTGGCTCCATATGAAATTTAAAGTAGTGTTTCTAATTGTGGGAAGAAAGTCAATGGTAGCTTCATGGAGATAGCACTGATTCTATAAATTACTTTGGGAGATATGGCATTCAGGCACAGAAATGTCCTTGTGTTAGGCAATACCATTCAGGACATAGGCATAGGCGAAGACTTCATCACTAGAACACCAAAAGCGATGGCAACAAAAGCCAAAATTGACAAATGGGATCTAATTAAACTAAAGAGTGTCTGCACAGCAAAAGAAACTATCATCAGAGTGAACAGGCAACCCTCAGAAAGGGAGAAAATTGTTGCAATCTATCCATCTGACAAAGGGCTAATATGCAGAATCTATAAAAACTTAAACAAATTTACAAGAAAAAAACAAACAACCCCATCAAAAAGTGGGCAAAGGATATGAACAGACACTTCCCAAAGGAGACATTTATGCAGCCAATGAACATGTGAAGCAAAGCACTGGTCATTAGAGAAATGGAATTCAAAACCATAATGAGATACAATCTTACGCCACTTGGAATGGCCATCATTAAAAAATCAGGAAACAACAGAAGCTGGAGAGGATGTGGAGAAATAGGAATGCTTTTACACTGTTGGTGGGAGTATAAATCAGTTCAACCATCGTGGAAGACAGTGTGATGATTCCTCAATGATCTACAACTAGAAATACCATTTGACCCAGCAATCCCATTACAGTGTATATACTCAAAAAAATATAAATCATTCCAATATAAAGACACATGCACACGTATGCTTATTGCGGCAGTGTTCACAACAGGAAAGACTTGGAACCAACCCAAATGCCCACCAATGATAGACTGGATAAAGAAAATGTGGCATATATACACCATGGAATACTATGCAGTCATAAAAAAGGATGAGTTCATATCCTTTGCAGGGACATGGATGAAGCTGGAAACTGTCATTCTCAGCAAACTAACACAAGAAGAGAAAACCAAACACCACATGATCTCACTCATAAGTAGGACCTGAACAATGAGAACACATGGACACAGGAAGGGAAACATCACACACAAGGGCCTGTCAGGGTGGGGGGCTAGAAAAGGGATGGCATTAGATCATGGGTTGGTGCATGCAGCAAGCCACCATAGCATGTGTATACGTATGTAACAAACCTGCATGTTCTGCACATGTACCCCAGAACTTAAAGTATAATTAAAAAAAAATAAATTTGCTTTTAATTAAGCTTTTCAACATAGAACTTGTAAAGAAAATACTTCTGAATCTTTTACTACCACATCATAGCTGGGACAAACTGCTGATATTTTAAAAGTAACACAAATATCAAACAGAAAGAACTAGACTTAGGAACCAAACTCAGGTTTCTGTAGTGAACAGGGCAGAATCTTAACTTTGGGTCGCCACCACTACTCCCTCAGTTTGGCCTTGGCTAGCAAAAGATGCAACCACTTATGCAAAAAATAAAAATAAAAAAGTTAAAAAAATCATTTCTGCTAACTGGAATTTTTTTTTTTTTTTTTTGCAGCCACATGAGTTTTAGCCAATTCAGAAGCCTTGTTCCCCACAATTTGGAGCATTCTTTGGATTTGACCAAGTCAGGAAGAGATGGGAGAAAAGTGAAACAACAACAACAAAACCCCAAACATAAACAAACAAAAAGAGTTAAGCAAAACAAACAAATGCACAATTCATATGATTACTGAGTGTTCTAATGGTAACGAGAAATTAAAAGCAGCTGGTGAGTAATCTTAAATTTTAGTCATTAAGGAAAAATTTTAAGACAAAACTCTAATTCAGCTACTTACCTGGAAATAAGTCTCAGGCTGGTGATTGTTCTCTGCCATCTTAGAAGCTGGAAAAAACTTACACTCACCTTCCCTGTCAGAAGCAAGCTGAAACTCAAGAAAGGAGGTGCCTGCTCTCCATCATCACGGAAGCAGGAAAACTTGCCTTGTTGGAAATAAGTAAAACTTCAGAAAAGGAGTTGTATAGCAAAATCAACCTTAGATCTCAACCAAATTTTGGGAGATCAGGGATTCTCTGCAGGGGAGAAGCTCCCTAACCTCAGCACATTATCCTATTGGTTTGGGCAATAAAGATAGCCCAGGTTGGTATCAAGCAATAATGAGATTTATCAAAGGTCAGGACCACCTTTGTAATCTCCTTCTCTCTTTTTTTTTTTTTTTTTTTTTTTTTTGAGACGGAGTCTCACTGTCTCGCCTGGGCTGCAGTGCAGTGGCACGATCTTGGCTCACTGCAAGCTCCACTTCCCAGGTTCACACCATTCTCCTGCCTCAGCCTCCCAAGTAGCTGGGACTACAGGCACCCGCCACCATGCCCAGCTAATTTTTTGTATTTTTCGTAGAGACGGGGTTTCACCGTGTTAGCCAGGATGGTCTCGATCTCCTGACCTTGTGATCCATCTGTCTCAGCCTCCGAAAGTGCTGGGATTACAGGCGTGAACCACCGCGCCCAGCCCTCTGTCTTTTTTTTTTTTTTTAATCTTTATTGGTATAGTCTGCTTTGTCAGAAACTAGGAGTGCAACACCTGCTTTTTTCTATTTTCCATTTCCTTGAAATATTTTTCTCCATTCCTTTATTTTGAGCCTATGTAGGGCACTGCATGTGAGATGGGTTTCTTGAAGACGGCATACTCCAATGGGTCTTGGTTCTTTATCCAGCTTGCCCCCTGTGTCTTTCAATTGGAGCATTTAGCCCATTTCCATTTAAGGTTAGTAATGGTATGTGTGGATTTGATCCTGTCGTCATGCTGTCAGCTGGCTTTTTTGCAGACTTATGTATGTGGTTGGTTTTTAGCATCACTTGTCTGTGTACTTCAGTGTGTTTTTGTAGTGGCTGGTGGTGGTCTTTTCTTTCCATATTTAGTGCTTCCTTCAGGAGCTCTTGTAAGGTAGGTCTGGTGATAATGAATTCCCTCAGCATTTGCTTGTCTGAAAAGGATCTTGTTTCTCCTTCACTTATGATGCTTAATTTTGCTGGACATGAAATTCTGGGTTGAAATTTCTTTTCTTTAAGATGTTGAATATCTTTTCTGGCTTGTACAGTTTCAGTTGAGAGGTCTGCTAAGTCTGATGGAATTCCCTTTGCAGGTGATGTTGCCTTTCTCCCTAGCTGCCTTTAACACTTTTTCTTTTATTTTGACCGCAGAGAATCTGATGATTATGTGTCTTGGGGATGATCTTCTCATGGCATATCTTACTGAGGTTCTCTGGATTTCCTGAAGTTGAGTGTTGGCCTGTCTGGCTAGGTTGGGGACATTCTCATGAATGATATTCTGAAATGTGTTTTCCAAGTTGGTTCCATTCTCCTCATCTCCTTCAGGTACATTAATCAGTCATAGATTTAGTCGTTTATATAATCCCATATTTCTCGGATGTTTTCTTCATTCCCTTTCATTCTTTTTTCCCCCATTCTTGTTTGCCTGTTTTATTTCAGAAAGCCAGTTTCCAGGCTCTGGGATTCTTTCCTCTTCTTGGTCTATTCTGTTGGATGGTCTTGCACATGAGATGGAGCTGGTCTGACCTCAGCCCTCCCTAGTCTGCTTGCCTCTCCCAGGACCCCAGCCTGGCCACATCTGCTTACAGGGCACTCTCATGTGCCCACACATACTACAATAATTTTCATAATGCAATCACACACAATCACCATGTGACTGCATTATGAAAATTCTTCTAGTGTGATTTACAGCTCTGTCAGGTCAGTTATTTTCTTCTTTATACTTGCTATTTTGTCTGTTAGTTCCTGCAATGTTTTACAATGATTTTTAGCTTCCTTGTATTGGATTACAACATACTTCTTTCACTCAGGGAACTTTGTTCCTACCCATATCCTGAACTCTGCTTGTATCATTTCAGACATCTCAGCCTCAGCCCAGTTCTGAACACTTGCTGGAGAGTTGATGCAGTCATTTGGAGAAAAGAAAGCATGCTGAATTTTTGAGTTTTCAGTGTTCTTGCACAGAGTCTTTTTCTCATCTTTATGGGCTTATCCACCTTCAATCTTTGAGGCTGCTGACCTTTGGACAGGGTATTTTTCCTTTATTATATCTGATGACCTTGAGGATTTGATTGTGGTGTAAGGTGGATTCAGCCAACAGGTTTTGTCTTTGGAGGATTTTAAGGGGCCAACATGCAGCTCCCAATTCTTGGACTGTGTGCTTTAACTCTGGGGAACTTGTATTGGGCCACAACTTTGTTCTCTGGCTCCTCGAGGTTTGGAGTCCACCGCACTGAGGGGACCAAAGTGCGGCAGCTGTGGCAGAATGCTAGCAGATGCAAAAGTCCCTGCCTCCCTGTGGGCATTCACCTAGTGGTGGAGGCAAAACAGCTGGGGTGTGGGCCAGGGGGCCCCTGCTGACTGTGTGTGCTGTTGCACTGGAGGTAGTTCTGGTTTGGGGTGGGTGGCTGGCCAGTGAAGGTGCCTTCTCTGATCCCCCCCAAGCAACAGTGGTCACTCAGGGTATAAGAAGGTCCCTTTTCCTCTGCACAGCATTACCTCAAGGGTGAGATGCTAGCAGGGGTGGGGTTTTTGGTTCTGTGCCCACCATGGCTTCATCTTCAGTGGCAGTTGGTGTGGGTTGGGGTGTGTGCTGCATTCCCATATGCTGTTAGGGCAAGTACAACAAAACCCACCTGTGTAAACACACACAGCTAAGTGATGTAGGAAGTTTCCATATAAAGGGCTGCAGTATGGAGAGGTAATGTGTAGGCTGGTACGTGGCTGTAGAGGTCACCTTGCTGCAGCTCTCCACTGATCAGCCACGGTCCGCTTGTACAGAAGCTATGGTGTGGGCACCCAGAAGTGCCCTCTAAGCAGGTGTGGCCTGGCTGGGGTCCTGGGAGAGGCAAGCAGACTAAGGGGTGCTGAGGTCAGACCAGCCCCATCTCATGTGCAAGACTGCCCAGCAGAGATCAGGTCTCAGAGGAGAACTCTCTCAAAAGTGAATCCTCAGCACAGCACAACTGCTCTACACAAACGCGGCCAGACTTCTTTTTTAAGCAAGTCCCCCTTTTTAGGAAGAGAACTCTTAGACCTGATCTGTGCTGGGCAATCTTGCACGTGAGATGGGGCTGGTCTGACCTCAGCACTCCTTAAGTGCTGGGATAAAGTGTCTCATAAGAGCAAGTGGAGCCTAGAGACATAGATGTCCCTGCCCTCCGGGCTCCACATCAGCTGACTTGCTGCTCCACCACTTTCCTTGTCTCCTGGGGGCTACACCCCAGAGAGGTGTAAGTTAGGAGTTACTTAATGTAATCACCCCAGGATGGAGGGTCTGTGCTGTGGGCCCAAGCCAGGGTTCCTTGTCTGGTGATGAGCAGTAAGGAGTGTGTTGTACCCGTGGAAGGTGGACTGACTTGTTCCTTGTGTCAACTGCAGCTTGTTGGAGGTGTCAATATGGCACTTAGGGTCTTTGCTCCCTTGATATTCTGAGGGTAGCAAGGGCAGTTCCACTGCAGAGGCAGTGGCAGAGAGGATTTCTGTTGCTCCTGGAAGCTCTGTCCAGGGAGTTGCTGAGTTGCTACTGGCTTGAAGGCTCAAGTGGGGGGCTGGCTGGAGACCCAGGCCAGGAAGACCTGCCCATCATGGCCCACCCCTCTCTCTGGGAACTCTGTCCCAGGAAGGTTTCAAATCTCCATTGGCCAGGGAACACTGGTGGGTGTAGCTGGAGGCCTCAGGTGGGAGATCCTGTCCAGTGATGAGGAACAGGATCAGGGGCCTGCTTACAGAAGCATTCTGGCCATGATTTGGTAAAGCAGCTGTGCTATGCCACAGGATCTCTTCTGTCCCTGGTGAGTTTGTACTCTCCAAAGCCCGCACGCTGGAATGACTAAGTTGCCCAAACAGGAAAGATGGTGGCCTGCCTCATCTTTTCTCTCAGAATTTATCCTGTGTGATGGAGCTTAATTTTTAGGTTGTTAATTTTACTGTCAGCGTTAGAGTTGTTCAGAAAGAATCTCACTGTTATCTTTTAGGTGAGATATATAAGAATTCATTTTCTCCTGTAAATAAACCTGTTGATGTTTGCTCTCTGGAAAGAAGTCCCTTTCAGCTATCTGACTTTGATCACAATCATGTAGAGCAGTAGTCAGTCTACAATGACATGATTGAATTTCCATTTCCAGTGTTTCCTAGCTGTGTCTTACATTCTCCAGTTCAGAACTGAGCATTCTCAGTTGTCAAAATCCTAAGCTGTCCACTGTACTTAAATACTGGTTTTCGTTAATGCTTCTTCATTCAGTTGTATAGCCTTTAGAAGTTTTTCTTTTACACTTTCAATTTCCTCCAAAATTTTATTTTCCCTTAGCTGGTTCTGATGTTTTGTTTCATCTAGTTCCAGTCTTAGCATGGCAATTTCTTCCCGCAACATGCTGTTTTCACGCAAGAGATCTTCTTCTTTCTTATGACTAAGAGAAAGCTAAGTAAACAAAGGGAACTTTTAGTTAGCACTCAATAGAATGACATATCATGATTTCTTCTAAAATCAAAGAATGACATTTATATTTCTATAATGAAATAATTCCCATAGTGGATATTTAACTGGAAAAAAGTTGGACAAAACTTCAAATCTAGAAGAGTGTAAATTCCAAAAAGTTGAAATATTTATCTAAAGACCATGAAAAATAAATCACTAGAGGATTTTTAAGAATTTCAGAATTGGAAAAGCCTTTCTCTGAATTACAAAAAACCCAGAGGCATAAAATAGAAGATTAATACATTTGGCTACATTTTTTAAATTGGGTTTACACTCTGATATCTAACCTACAAACCACACCATCATAAGAGCCTTAGCTATGCATATATTAGGACAGAAGCAATTCCTCAAAGTTCTTTAAGTTCCTTTTTCTGAGGAATGTTTTATCAATATACTGCTTTTCTAATATTTTTACAGTCAGTTATAAGAATTACATTTATTCATAACTGTTAAATCTAAGCATTGTACCCTTCTACAATGTACACACCGGCATCTAAGCATTGCACTTCTACATACAACACTCAACTCATTTAAGATCACGATTCTTAAAAGGAGAGATCAAAAAATATATGCAGCCAGGACCAGTGGCTCACACCTGTAATCCCAGCACTTCAGGAGGCTGAGGCAGGAGAATCGTGTGAACCTGGGAGGCAGAGGTTGCAGTGAACTGAGTTTGTGCCATTGCACTCCAGCGTGGGTGACAGTGCAAGACTCCATCTAGAATACACACACACACACACACACACACACACATATATATATGCAACGTGCAAGATTTTTGCCAGGTCTTCTGATGCTACTGTTAGTGATCCTCCACAAAATCAGTTGCTTCTGTGGTGTAAATATATAAATACAAAAGAAGCCTTTTATTTCAAAATACAGATGGTAAATAAGATATAACTTACAAGGCTTTTCTTAGAAATCATGAGATTATTTGCCATTGCAATAACTTTTCTTTCCTCTTCATAATGTTTGAAACATTATAGTAGTAAGTGTGAAATACGGGAAACGTACTGAACTATTCATCTGGGAACAAAATACTTATCAATAAATTATCACTAAATGTGTATCATGGCATGTCATTGTTTTCAAAGCTCTTTGCATTGAATTGAGAAACTACTCGGAGCAAACTGTTCCTCTCCTCAAAAGCAAGGATAATGACATCCACAATGTGGCCTCTGACCCAGCTGTACATTTCCTACTTTCCTATTAGTGAAAATAACAAACTGACTTCTCTATTAATATTTTAAAAAGAACTAATGTCCCAAAACTAGCAAATCTGTTGTTAGTAGCAAAACTTATTTTTGATATTGGAAAGATAATCAATTCTTATGAAAAATATCAAATGCTTTTCCTTTGGATTGAGGCCATTGTGAAGGTCACTACTCGACTGTTGCAGGCAAATGCAGTTGAATTAAGAACATGGCTTTATCCTATGTGTACATATATAGATATATGACCAAGGATATACAGGGTGTGTGTGTGTGTGTGTGTGTGTATATACACACACACACACACACACACGTGTGTATATATATGATTTAAAAATCCTTTATACCTTCCAAAATAAAGCTTTTTAAAAATATATACACATATGAAAACATTTGATAATGACTAAAGAAAATACCTCAGAATTCATTTCCTTTTCAGCCACTTCTATCTGCTTTTGTTTATTAGTCAGAATCTCATCTTGTGATATTCCAGTGTTCTGTTCTTCAGAAAGTTGTTTCTGGGTATCATTTTGTTCGTCACTAGAAGAAATTTTAATTTTCATGAAATACTGGAGGTGTCCCTAAAATGATCTACAGGGCAAGATGGCACCATCAGATGTCATTCACACAATGTATATCTGCACATTAATCCAAGACAAGGCAAAGGGGCCTCACATCTGTTAACCCTGCTCTCCCAGTCATGTTGGCACCAGGGACTAGTTTTGTGGAAGATAATTTTTCCATGGACCTGAGGTGGGGGATGGTTCCAGGATGATTCAAGCACATTACATACATTGTGCACTTCATTTCTATTATTACTAATATATAATGAAATAATTATATAACTCACCATCATGTAGAATCAGTGGGAGCCCTCAGCTTATTTTCCTGCAACTAGATGGTCTCATCTAGGGGTGACAGGAGATGGTGACAGATCATAAAGCATTAGATTCTCATCAGGAGTGAACAACCTAGATCCCATGCATGAGCAGCTTGCAATAGGGTTCAAGTCACACTCTTATGAGAATCTAATGTCACCGCTGATCTGACAGGAGGAGGAGCTCAGGTGGTAATGTGACAGAGAGTGGCTGTAAACAGATGAAGCTTCACTTGCTCATCTACCACTAACTTCTTGCTGTGTGGCCCAGGTCCTAACAGGCCAGGGACTGGTACTGGTCTGTGGCCTGGGGATTGGAAACCCCTGTGTTAACTCAAACTTTTTACGTTTATTTTTTGGAAACAGTTTCCACTTATATTCTTGATTCCTCTGTAATTTATAGACAAATTAGAAATTCCCTTTGGAACAAGACAGGGTCTAATATTGTGTTTTTAACATAGAACTTTGAATTAATTTTATCTGTGTATGAGAGAGAGATGTGAAATAAACTGATCATTAATCGCTTTCAATTTCACTTTTATTTCATGCATATTAAGAAGAAAACTGGGAAGCCCTAGGCAGAGCAATTGGGCAAGAGAAATAAAGGGCATCCAAATTGGAAAAGAGAAAGTCAAACTCTCTCTTCACCAATGATATGATCTTATGCCTAGAAAACCCTACAGACTCCTACAAAACACTCCTAGATTTGATAAATGAATTTAGTAAAGTCTCAGAGGTTACAAAATATACAAATACCAATGAATAGTACCACTATACACCAACTACAACCAAGCTGAGAGTCATATCAAGAATCCAATCCTTTTTACAATGGCTGCAAAATAGTAAAATACCTAGGAATATACTTAATGAAGGAGGTGAGTGATCTATCAAAGGATAACTGGAAAACGCCACTGAAGAAAATCATAGATCATACAAATAAATGAACATACATTCTATGTTCCTGGACTGAAAGCATTGATATTGTGAAAATGCCATAGTGCCCAAAGTAGTCTACAGAGTCAATACAGTTTCTACCAAAGTACCAATGTCATTCTTCACAGAGTTATTTTAAAAAGCTGTCATTCATGTAGAACCACAAAAGAGCCTGAATAGCAACAGACATACCAAGAAAAAGGAACAAACATGTTGGCATCAAATTACCTGACTTCAACTCTAAGGCCACAGTAACAAACATCATGGTACTGGTATAAAAGTACATACACAGATCAATGGAACAGAATAGACAACTCAGAAAAAAGGCCACTTACAACCAAATGATCTCTGAGAAAGGATACAAAAACATACACTGGAGAAAGTACACGTTATTCAACAAATGGTGCTGGGAAAAAAAGATAGTCACATATAGAAGAATAAAATTGGATCTCTATCTCTCACCATGTAAAAAATTAATTCAAGATGGATTAATGGCCTAAACCTAAGACCAGAAGACATTAGCCTAGGCAAATAATTTATGATGAGGACCCTGAAAGCAAAAGCAACAAAAATAAAAATAAATAAATAAATAAATAAATAAATAAATAAAGACCTAATTAAACTAAAAAGCTTCAGCACAGCAAAAGAAATAATCATCAAAGTGAGCCAACCACCTATACAATGGGGAAAATATGGGCAAATTATGAATCTAACAAAGGATTAATGTCCATAACCTACCAGAAACTCAAACAAATCAGCAGGAAAAATACAAACAATTCCATTAAAAAGTGGGCACATGACATGAATAGACATTTTTCAAAAGAAGATGTACAAATGGTGAACAAGAATATAAAAACATGCTAAATATTACTAATCATCAGGGAAATGTACAATAAAACAACAGTGAGATATCACCTCACTTCAGCCAGAATGGTCACTACTAAAATAAGAAAAACAGCAGATGTTGGTGTGGATGTGGTGAAAAAAGAAGATTTATACACTGCTGGTGGGGATACAAATTAGTACAAATCTATGGAAAACATTATGGAGAGTTCTGTTAAAGTAGATCTTACCATTCTATCCAGCATTCTCATTTCTGGATACCTACCCAAAATAAAAGAAATCATACTCTCAAAAAGACACCTATATACATATGTTTACTGCAGCACAATTCACATATGCAAAGATATGTTATCAGCCAGTGTCCATCAACTGATGAGTGGAATAAAGAAAATTATATATATATATATATATATATATATATATATATATATATATATATGTATGTATGTATGTATACCTGAGACTGGGTAATTCATAAAGGAAAGAGGCTTAATTGATTCACAGTTACACATGGCTGGGAAGGCCTCAGGAAACTTACAATCATGGCAGAAGGTAAAGGGGAAGCAGGCAACTTCTTCAAAAGGTGGCAGGAGAGAGAGAAGTGAAAGGGAAAGAGCCCATTATAGAATTATCTGCTCTTGTGAGAACTCACTATCAAGAGAACAGCATGGAGGAAACCGACCCCATGATCCAATACCTCCCAGCTGGTCTTTCTCTCAACACCTGGGAATTACAATTTGACATGAGATTTGGGTGGAAACACAAAGCGAAACTATTGGGGGGGGTGTATCCTTACTTTTAAAATATCAAAATGTCATTATTTATATTTCAAAAATAGCAATTTTTATTAGTAATGATTTTGTTTGAAAATAAAATGACCTGGTAAATTTTCTTCAATTTTAGCCTAGTATTTAGTCAAAATATAAAAAGCCGAATTTGCCAGCAGAAAACTGTAATTACTTTTAAATGAGGTAAAGATGTATAAGAATATCACTGTTATTGTACTGAGAAGAAAGTGAATGAGAAAAGGAATTTAAAAAGAGAGTATCACTACCATATACATACATGAACTGACAAAGAGACTAAAATCTCCTACTGGAGATTATGTTAGGACTTAAGCAAAAGCTTCTAAAAATACCAAAAACAGAAAGAAAATAATTAATTTTAACGAATAAATTATACAGAGAAATATGTATTTAAAAAAAAGAAAACAGATCTTCCTGAGAGCTATTATTAACCAATTCATCTTGACCAAAATTTTAAAATGAAGTCTACAATTCTGGAATATAAAATACTTTCATTTTGAACATAGTTAATTGAAGGCAACTTTTATACAGAAAATTTTCGGTTAAAGTTGACTCTAACTTAGGAAAGAAATGACTTGTACCAATGGTAACAACAAGCCACCCAAAAGCCAGTATGAAATCTAGTCAATCAATCAATGACCACTGCTCTTGCTCACCAACCAATATCAATGTGAGCAGCTTGCTTCTGAAATACAGCCACGCAGCAGCACCTGCTCCACCAGAATAGACAGTGCCTGACCAGTATTCCTCTTACTATAGGAAGCAAAAAATTCCAACTCTGTATCTTTATTTCAAATACCAAAGGTTCATAATCCCTTGAAAAGAATTTGTAAGTCCATTAAATGTGCCACCCTAATTTTTTTTTTAAATAAAATACTAGTGGCCAGGCGCAGTGGCTCATGCCTGTAATCCCAGCACTTTGAAAGGCCGAAGTGGGTGGATCACCTGAGGTACAGAGTTTGAGACCAGCCTGACCAACAGGGTGAAACCCCATCTCTATTAAAAATACAAATATTAGCCAGGCGTGGTGGCATGCCCCCGTAATCCCAGCTCCTTGGAAGGCTGAGGGAGGAGAAATACATGAACCAGAAGGCGGAGGTTGCAGTGAACTGAGATCATACCACTGAACTCCAGCCTGGGGGATACAGCAAGACTCCATCTCAAAATAAAATAAAATACTAGTAAAGTTTGCAATTCCTCTGACTCAGTTTACCATAATTACAATTATGTTTACTAGTAAAAGAATAAATAGTGAATAACCACAATATTGGGCTTTTCTCTCTAAATAAAAAAATAATATAAAGAATGTAGCTTATTATAAAGAGCCAAAACAATTTTTAAAATGCATGTAATTACTGGGCAAAACTGTTAGAATGAACCATGTCAAACATTTTTAAAGTGAGAATTAATCAAACAATATATCCAGGATAAACTCCATTCACTCATTTAATAAGTATTTATTAGGTAGCTTCATCCAATATGCTAGGCCTTTTTCTAGGCAGTGAGGATATGGTAGTGAAAAATAAAAACCCCATTCATGAGAGTGAGAAAAACACACAATAACAACAGACAGATAAGGCAAAATATACAGTATGTTAGAGGAGAAAAACTAAAGCAGGAAAATGAAATGTTTATGTGTTTCATGGGGAGGGTGGTGGGAAAGTTGGGGTGGTCAGAAAAGTCCCTGCTGAGAAAGGGGATTTTTTTTTCTAATACAAAAAACCTTTTATTTGTATATCAAAGACTCTAAGAAATGACGACATAAGGTTAACGGCATTGATGTCAAGATACAAATGGGTTTGAAGTTAGAGATGTTAAATCACTTTGTTTCACTGAACCTTCCCTTCATTACGTTAGAGAGCATCCCTGGTAGGCACCCAATTGAACCTCAAGCATGACGCGTCTAGGTAGCATGCTGTTCTTCCTCAGAAAGTGGTTGTTCCTTAATGTCTTTCTTTTTACCCTTTTTCCTCTTCTTCTTAGAAAGGGGGTTTTAAATAAAGAACTGAAGGAATGGAAAGAGAAAGCTAGGAGGATAACTGGGGAAAAAGCATTCCAGACACAGGGAACTGCGAATCACAGAGGTGTGCCTGGCATCTTTAAGCACTAGGGGTAGATAAGGGACGGCAAGAGATCAGTTTGGCTGAAGCAGAGCAAGGGAGATAATTAGGAGGAACTTTGACACATACTCCGGGTGAAATGGGAGATAAACAGAAGGGCTGGGGCAGAGGAATGACACAATTTGACTTATGTTTTAAATACATCCACTGAGTTAAGAATTGATGAAAAGGGAAGTTTTTAAAAACCAGGACTATCAATTCCCAGTCTATGACACTCATCTAGACTGCAGATGAGGGTGGCTCAGATGTACAAGATATGACTGACTTCTGGACATATTCTTCAGGTAGACCTGACAAGATTTACTGAGAGATTAGATGTGAGGTGTCAGAGAGAGAGAGAGATGAGTCAAGAATGACACCGAGATATTTGGCAGAGCAACTGGAAGAGTTGCCCTTAACCAAAAATAGGAAAGACTACATGAGGTGCAGATTTCAGGAAGGACATCAGTAGCCCAATTTTGGATCTGACAAGTGTGTGATACCCAATAACTAACCAAATAGAGACGTCAAGTAGGCAGGCTGATATAGAAATCTGGAATTAAGGAGAAAGATCTGAGCTGGAGACATACATTCAGAAATCACTAGCATATACACAGTAGAAAAAGTCACGAGGGGTCAGGTGCAGTGGCTTACACCTGTAATCCCAACAGTTTGTGAGACCAAGGCAGACAGATCCCCTGAGGTCAGGAGTTTGAGACCAGGGTGGCCAACATGGGGAAATGCTGTGTCTACTAAAAATACAAAAATCAGCTGGGCACGGTGGCATGCACCTGTAATGCCAGCTACTCAGGAGGCCGAAGCAGGAGAATTGCTTGAACCCAGGAGGCAGAGGTTGTAGTGAGCCGAGATCACACCACTGAACTCCAGCCTGGGAGGCAGAGTGAAACTCTGTCTCCAAAAAAGAAAAAGAAAAAGTCACGAGAAAGAAGACTGAGGAGTGAGCCCTGGGAAACAACAATGTCCAAAAGGAGAAAGATGAGGAGGAGCAAGCAAAACAGACCATGATGAATGGACTAGAAAGGCAGGAGGAAAAGCCTGAGGGAGTGAGGTCCTGAAAGCCAAGTGAAGATGCCGTTAGGGAGGAGATGCCCTCCATTGGCTCAAATATTGCTGACAGATTAAATAAAATGAGGTGGAAGAAAAGGGCCTAGATTTATTACAGAAAAAAAAAATAGTGATAATCTTGAGGAAAAACAATGCTGGAGGACTGCTGAAATTGAAGACTTACTGGCATGAGATCAAGAGTGAATGAAAAGAAAATTTGAGTTCGTGAGTGTAGACAGTTCTTTTAAGGACATCATACTTAAGAGTCATGGCTGAGAATGTTGTAATTTTCTTCCACAGTCATGGAAAAGTAATAGACAAATAGTTTCAAATTTTACATAAAAGGTGTAGTTTTCAAATTTTATATAACAATTATATATTTTAAAGCTTATAAAAATTATACACATGTGGCATTAAAAATGCCAGACCAAGGTGTTAAATCTTAAAACTATAGAACTAAAAGTTGCCTTGACCATTTCTAGATTACATAAGCTAATTATCATTTTGTTCATGCTTATACATAAAGACCAAGAAAAACTAAAAGTTTCAAGGAGAGTATTTCTTGCTTGATAAAAATCAGCCAATTCTAGGACAGTTGATGCTCATCGAATATACAAAGTAATTGATCACCATAAAATACTGAATTCTATTAACAGGAATAAAGTGGCAGAAATGCAGAAAATAATCTTATTTTACAAATGAAATTTTTAAAATTATATGAAGTCACTGTGGAAAAATATGGTGAGGTGAATACCAAAATATATCCTTTTCTCAAAGGAAAGATAATGTCACACATGCTGGGCACTTTTATAAATAAGTGTTACTGCATTAGCAGCACCTTCCTTTTAGCACAAGGGTCAGCAAATTAGCACCTGTGGGCCAAATCCAGCCCACTGCCTGTTTTTGTAAGTAAAGAATCTTGGAACACAGCCATGCTTATTCACTTTACAGTCCATAGAGTCAATTAGCTGGGTGTGATGTTGCACACTTGGGGTCCCAGCTAATAGAGAGGCTGAGGTGGGAGGATCACTAGAGCCCAGAAAGTCAAGGCTGTAGTGAGCTGTGATCACACAATTGCACTCCAGCCTGGGCAACAGAGACCCTGTCTCAAAAAAAATAAATATATATAGTCCACAAAGCCTAAAAATTTACTAAATGGCTCTTTGCAGAAAAAGCTGGCCAGCTCCTGGTTTAGCAGATGAAAGATACTTTGATATATTTTAATAAAAGTTTTACCCAATATACTCAAATGTTTATATTAAATATAGATCCCCATGTACAATCCCTTGGCAATATTCAGATTGAAGGTCCAATATTTTGGCACTCAGGCACTGACAACAAAAATTTAATAACTAGCAATCTCGTTGCTAACAAGGTACAGTGTCAATGTAGCGTGTAGCTTCCATTTGCAACACAGCAGATATTACAAGAATTCTAACAAAATTATCTTAAGATGTGTTACCAAACTAAATGCTTTAAATACATTTTAATTGTGAAATAATCAGTATACTCTAGATCTAACCTCATTTGTAAAAAATGTTTGCATACCGTATTATTTTCTGGGTATGAAAATTGAGCCATTTCCTATTGGTAAGGATTTACTTTTGATAATGATAAATTCCTATTGATAAGGATCCATCTTTTTGATATAATAACGCTGTAAGAAATGTCCTTATACATAAGTATATATGTGACAAATCTATACAAATATCCTTAACATACATATATATCCTTACTATGTTATATATGTGTGTGTGCAAATATGCTAATAAATTAATGTTCAAAATATATTTACCAACAGTGTATGAATTGTCTTTTTCAATGAGACCATTTCCTTTGCAGCAACACACATGGAGCTGGAGGCCATTATCCTAAGCAAACTAATGCAGGAACAGAAAATCAAATGCCACATATTCTTACTCATTTGTGGGAACTAAACAATGAAAACTCATGGACACAAAGAGGAGAATAACAGACACCAGGGTCTACTTGAGGGTGGAGTGTGGCAGGAGGGAGATGACCAAAAAACTACCTCTCGAGTATTTTGCTTATTATGTGGCTGATGAAGTAATCTGTAGTCCAAACCTCCATGACACAGTTTACCTATATAATAAACCTACACATGAACTTCTGAAGCTAAAATAAAAGTTCATTAAAAAGAAAAGGAAATGCCTTTTCCCTCACATTTGCCAATGCCGGTTATTTTTCAAATAAATTAATGACTGGAAAAAACGGTAACTCATTGTTTACTGATTTTCATTTTTCTGATTAACAGGCAAGGCTGAATATTCTAGTAAAAGTATAAAATTTGTTCATCATGAAAGCCCAAATTAGGATTAGTTTGACAGCATATAGTTATCTCCTATTAAATGTTGCCATAGGCTTACCTGTGATACTCTTCATTCTCAGTGTCAGGAAATTGCTGATTTTCAGGTTTTCTGCTCTTCCTTTGTGGAATTAATCCATCATCACCATTGCCAGCACTGGCACCATTAGTCAGGTTTTCTGGTAATCCCACAGGATTACTTCCATGCTTCTTTATTTCTTCTTCAACCTTGAGTGGAAGTTTGATATTAAGGATGGTTATCACTTTATTGAATAAAAATAACCTTTTTAATTGATTTTATCAATTGACTCAGTTTGCCATTATTTTAGTCATTAAAAATATTTCACACTTAAATTTGATCATATATACAGAACTATAACCGTATAATTTTAAGATGTAATTATCATGTCATTAGTATATCACTGAAATTTTTGTAAAGTTTGCTTGATTCCAGCTGTTTGACTGAATAAAACAGAATTTTCCAAAATTCAAAAAGGGCCCTCCTTCATTTTGTGCTTTTATTCCCAAAAACTCTTCAGAATCTTATATATGAATTTACCCCATTTGACTCGTGGGAACACAAAAATAAAACGACATAGACACAAAATGTGTCTTCTGTCTTTACCACCTAGATTTTACATTAAACACTCAGATGTAGAGGATGAGACACTGGGGGGCTTCAGGAATAGAAAGGAAGATGGCCCTTTTCTGCACTAAGATATTCTCCTCCCCCACTGCCTTTGATCGTTCTTTTTTCATTTGGTTCCTGGATATCAAAAACATGATGGTGCTCACTGAAACATGAAAACCAAAGTTTGCCACAACACAAGGAGCAGAGTGAAACTGCTGAGGTGCAAGCATGGAATTCCAGAAAATTAGATGCTCCCCAAATTTCACATTCAATAGCTATACAATTTTCCAGCTGGAAATTACAAAGAATAAGTAATTATCTTCTTTAGCCACATTATCTAGTGATAATCAGACTAAAACCAAGAAAGATAAAAGGATTGGTCCAAATCTCCTAAAGTGGCATTACCTAGCATTTTATGGCACCATTCAGGATTGTTCCATAATAATGAAAGAATCTCTCTAGGGTTTGTATCTCTTGAAAACTCAATGTACAGAATTCTTTCTGAGTTAAATATTAAATTTTTCACTGGTGATTTATGCTACTTACATGATAGGATCATGTATGCGTACACTTACTACACTTTGTTAAACAGCATAACATAAAAATCTAATTCCACAGAAACATTTGAACATAAAGGTATACCTCTCTATCACAGTCCTTATTTATTTCTGGTTCTTGAGACATTTTCTGCAGATGCAAAAATAGAAGGTTAATTTGCTTGTTGTATTTCCGTGTATGTCTCCTCTTTTGGAATGCATGTTAAAATAATTTTATTCTTAAGTAATCAAGTATGGACATGAAAAATTAGAAAATAAAATAAAATTTAACTGTTAAAATAATTAAATAAATAAATAATTAAAATTAAGAATTAACTTTTTAATCTATGTTTAGCTACTGCCACATCATTGGCTTCTGACTAACATGGGAAAATAATTCACCTTAGACAAAGGGAGAATAAAAACATGAACCAGCAAACTTAACTTTGTCACCATTTGTTTGGACTAAACTTAATTTGTTATGTGTTAAATCTACCAAAAATGAATTAGCAGATGATTTGTAGTGTTCCAAGGGCTTCCTCACTTGAAAAGAGTATATCTCATGAAACCCTAACTAGTGAGCCCCTATAGTGCACTGAAGTGCTTTTTAAAAAGATTCCTAATTGGATTGTAGGCACGCTTTAAATTATTAGGAGCTGAAATCAACACCAAACAGGAAGAAATGCAAATTCTTAAATTTTAATTGAAATTATATGCTGTAATATGATAGTGTTATGTATCTAGATGATCTGCTTAAGTCCAGTTCTAATATATTCTAAGGTGTACTAATTACAGTGGATAAAAATTTTTTAATAATCTGTACTGATTTTCTGCAACTAAAATAAGGTAGAAGGTTATTGTGTTTGTGCACTAACACCAAATGTCCCATTCTGCAAGATGTGATTCTTGTAATAGGCAGTTGGGTTGCTTTTATGACCTGGTTCCCTCCCTGAACAGAAATGCTGAGGTCAGTGAGAGACCACAAGGCAGAATATGTCTTTAACCTTGGTATCTGTGACTGACAATATAAAACTGCAGATTTTCAATCACTGGCCGTGATTATTCTTTAACCATGAATCCAGCTCAGGGACCTTCAGTGTTACATTGTTCACAGTTCTATTGCTTAATAATATAATCCAATAATTGATGGTACTTTATCATGTTAGGGTGTTGTAAAAATAAAAGAACAAACAAAGGTCTGGAATATGTTTTTGCCTCTATTCCAAAAGGAAAGATTAGCTATAAGCTAATCAAAAAGGCAGATAAGAATATTTTAAATAAGAATACCATAAAATAAGAGTATTTTAAATTTTATAGTGGTTATGTTTTTAAGCTAAATATCAAATGTTAAGTTAGAATTTATTAATTCTTCTGTTAATGAGATTGCTGAATTTATTAAAATAAATTTTAAGAATCTATTAAAAAATTCTTAAAAAAAGAATCTATTGATTCTTAAAACCTAGTCTGAAAGGTAATTTCATTTGGACTATCTAATATTATTCAAGCAAAGAAAACAACGTTAAATCAAAAATTTAAACTTAAAATTTTCCATGCCTCTGGCTGGCTATTTTCACTGACTTTAAGCCTTTGTGACTCTTCCTCTGATGTCAGCTTTAAGTCTTGTTCTGTTGAGAAATCCATATATTCAGTTAAAATGAACCACTTAGAACAGTTAAAAACTATTGCCTTTATAAAAATAGATTGAAGACAACATTTTATTTTATTTCATAAACTGAGTGTTTAGTCTTTCATGAAATAGTTACTTAGGAAATAATTCTCCAAAACTTCAACAAACCACTTGGGGAGACACCTGATGTGATTCACTCACAAATTCATCCACCCAACATAAATGAACAAAACCACCAGAAACACAACTTTAAAATACAGTAGAAACATATAAGGTAACTCAGTATGTTGTTCACTTCCTAATAGTGAAGCAGTAAATGTAAAGAAAAGGAAATTTAGTTTTAAAGAGAAACAAGTTTTCCTGCACTTAGCTAGTCTGACTCTAAGGATAGTAACAAGCAGGCCCAGGAAAGGTCATGGTGACCCTGTCTGAGAAGCCAGAGCCCACAGGTATGGGCTCCAGACATCCCAGAGCAAGGTTAAGAAAACAAATTCCTTTACCATCTCCCCTCCCCCTCAGCATTTATTCATAGCTATTTTTACAAATGCATATATTTTGCAAATTCTTGTTTTCCTTCAATGCAGCTGCAAGGTCACAAGCTATGCAGTGGTTGCAAAACTGTCACTATATGATTAACTGCCTTTGTTCTGCTTCTATAAGTTTGCCTATATAAGCCAAGCCCTGTCTTTGTTCAGGGCTCAGCTTTTTGATGCAAATCCGCTGAGCTGGTGTGCACCTAAACAAAATCCTCTTGTTTGACCCACTGGGTCTCTCCTGCCTCCTGTTTTCTGCAAAAATAGTACCTTACAAACGATTTCCAAAATTACTACTGACACCTTTATTAGTGTACAATGTCTTCTTAACATCTAAAATGTTTCCATCCACTATTATGACAAATTTATTTTCATTTTTCTTTTTTTTTGTTTTAGCTGGGGTCTTGCTCTGTCACCAGGCTGGAGTGCAGTGGCACAATCTCAGCTCACTGCAACCTCTGACTCCCTGGTTCAAATGATTCTCCTGTCTCAGTCTCCTGAGAAGCTGTGATTACAGGCACACACCATCATGCCCAGCTAATTTTTGTATTTTTAGTAGAGATGGGGTTTCACCATTGGCCAGGATGGTCTTGATCTTTTGACCTTGTGATCCACCTGCTCCAGCCTCCCAAAATGCTGCAATTACAGGTGTGAGCCACCACACCCAGCCTTGTTTTCATCTTTTAAAACAATGCTATGGGAAGTCTTCCTTGATTCTGCAGATCTTTCCCCAGATAAACAGGTAACTCCTTCCTTGAGGTTGCCTTAGGACCTCACTGATTTTTCTACTGCACCTTTACCACCTGAACTGTACACTATTCCTCCACATGTCTGTCCCCTCTGCTCCAAGACTGCAGAGGACAGTCTTGCACATCATCTTTGTAAAAACAGTCTTTATTTTACTCAGAAATTTCTTATTGAGTCCTGCTACATACATGCTAGGTGTTAGGGTTTAAAAAGAATGAAAATAAAGCCTGTCAGGGATGGCTTTTCTAGAACACCTGCCCAAGCAGAGACTTAAATATTGAGGCTAGCTAGATTAAAAGTGGTAGAGGGCAAGAAAGGGTGACAGCATGCCACACAGCAGCAAGAGCAGGAGCGAGGCCTGAAAGAGTGAAAGTATTTGCCTGCAATAGAAGGAGGAGTGAGTAGGGCATTAAGAGCCACTCAGTAATGCCAGAGAAAGGGCACACAGGGAAAAGGGCTAAAGATGTAGAATAGGGCAGAAGTCAGATTATGAAAGCCTTATGTGTACCTTTAAGATGCTTAGACATTAACGTTCAAGAGTGGTCCCTGGTCCTATCTGTATTAAGATGTAGATCATTTTAATGCCAAAACCAATATTCCTAGTGAGCCATTATTCATTAAGACAAGGTGACAGCTAGCTCATGTGGACACAGCTGAGATGATACTATGTAGCAAATTCCCAATAATTCTCATGAACACTTGGAAAGTCAATTCTATAATAAGTCATAGAAATTATAATAAATCACTTAATATTTGTTTGGGAAGGTGCTTTATAAAGTTATAGTGTATATGAATATAACTAATAGTTGTGAATTCAGAGCTGTGAGAATAAAGCAAAAAAAATCACACTGTGTTTGAGTCAGCAATCTTTAGATTTCTATCTAGTCTTCCTACCCAGTCCATAAATTCTAAGTATAATCCTAGTACTCGCTCTCAAGTTTAAGTTAAATGCTAGCCTATACAAAAAATACTCTTTCTCTTACTTCTTTTTTGTTATTTATATGTTGCTTTGTTTAAAGGAAGAACACAAAAATGCCCTGCTAAAGGGATTCTGTTTGGCTGCAGGCTGCAAGAGGGGAAAAACACAAAGCACATTTTGCAGAAAATGATTTTTTAGAAGTCAGAACTATGACATGAAGTCAAGCAGGGCACTCTAGGACTGACTTTGCTGTGCTTCCTTAATATGCTCCTTGCTCTCTTTCTTTTCTGGAAGCTGTGACTCACACAGGTCATGGAGAAAATTTCATACTCCTTCCTCATGCCCAGCTTAAATACTAGTGTACAACGTGGAAACCTGTAAATTATCTGACATTTCTCTCTGTCCTCCAAACCTTTCTCATTCAATTATCACTAAATCATATTGACTATACCTCTCTTCTGCCTCTGCTTTATATTACCACTTCCACTGAGAACATAAACATTTACAAAATGGCTTTTATTACAAAAAAGCCTTCCAACTATTAATGTTATTTCTTACATGAAAAAAATTAAGCAAAACAAATGAAAAAAGCATAACACCAAAAAAAGGCCAACACATTAAAATGAGTAACGGAGATTCCAAACTTTATTTCACCATGGGCAGGTGAAAACCTTAGAATACATTGATACTAGTCCAAGGATGTGTGACATGGAAACTATAGCTGACTACTGCAAAAGCTTCCTTTGTCTCCTGGTTTCTTTACATGGTTATCTTCCATCAATCCCAGCAAACTATAGGCCACAGGACAAATCCAATCTGCCTTTTGGCTTTGTAAATAAAGTTTTATAGGAGCTCAGTCATGCCTGTTTGCTTACATATAATCATGGTGGCTTTCACACTACAACAACAGACAACAGCCTGGTTAAGTAGATATGACAGAGACCACATAGTCTAAAATATTTCCCACCTGGTCCTTTACAGAAAAAGCTTGCTAACCCATTTTACACCATAAGCAGAATATGCCTTAATATTCAAATTTAATCTTGTAACTCCCCTGCTCAAATTTCTCCAATGAGCCCCTGCAGCACACATTGTTGGCTCCTATCAATAGCCATTCCTTATTCTTTCTTGCAGAAGAAACACAAGTCTATTGGGATATTTATTATCCCAATCCCCCTCCTCAGCCTCAGAAAGAGAAATGTTTATTCTAAGCTAATCATGTATTTGCCATCCCATTGCCTGGTTTGGGAATGAGCATGTGGTGTGACCCAGCCAATGAAATGTTACAGGAAGCCCCTTGCATGCTTCTAAGTTTTCTCCCTGTTTAAAAGACACATGTGAAGAAAAGCAGCCCTTGAAATGTTGTGTTGTGAGAACAAGATGTTTGGAGCTGCTGCGGATTAGCCAACCACAAAAGGAAACATGAAGAAAACACTGCCAACAGCACAGCTGAAAGAGGGACAAATGGGATCCTAGGATATCACTGAACAACCAAAACAACTCTGGTTCCTACTGTTTTAGCCACTGCTCATCTAGTATTTACAGTCCAAAGCATTCTACCTGGTAAATTTCCCATGGCCCACAGGGTAAGACCTACTCATTTCTATAGTATTAAAAAAGTCTATCATAAACTTGCCTTAGCTAAGTATTCACCTCATTCCCAAACTCTGGTGTCTCACACTTTTGGTACTAGCAAAAGTGAACTGCTCAGAAACCCTGCAAAGTTCACTCGGCATCTTGTCTTTTGCAGTTGTTGCTCTTCCTGCCAAACAGGCAATCTCATCAGATGTTCTTCTGGCAAACACACAAACTTGTTGCATGTTCCTCCTGCCAAAAATTATTCTTCTGCTTCTTTACCTAGAAAAATTCTTCTCACTCTGCAGGCTTACTTTGAATCATACCTACTTTTTTTCAAAACTTTCATTCCTCATCACGTATGTCTGGCACATAATTAATACATAATAAATCATAATTTTAAGCTTCCAGTTGGCAACTAGCACACAGTAAGCACTGAATAAAGTAGTAAAATAATAAAAATGACAATGATAATAACAAGCTCCTGTCTGTATTTTTAATTGTGTGTGTTCTGTAGCATTAGAAAAATGATTAGTATCTAAAAGACATTTGATAGTTATTTGTTAAGTGGACAAGTGAAAACATAGAAATGTTTTCTTTGTAAATTCTGTTGAAAAAGCACAGAAATGAAATAGAGACACCTCTATTATGAGCACCTTAAAGATCAAAACTACATCTATTCCATCTTTGTCTTCTGCAACTTATAAAACCTAACTTACAGAAGCTTTTTGATAAATAGATGGCTAAATTAAAGGTGTCCTCATCCAGTTTGGATTATACAATGTATTAGGTGTCCACAACCAGGTGGCATACTAGTATTTTTGTTAATGTGAAGCATTTTTCTACTTTTATTATAATCTGCTGAGCCTAGAGTTGGGCAATTTGTATATTTATTATGACAATCTTTTGGTAAATGGTAGCAGAGCATCTTGTTCTAACAAAATTACTGTTATCAAGACAATTGACCAGCAGGTAGAGAACACATCTTGTTCAAACAAAGTAAATGTATCTCTTTCCAACTTCAAATGAGGAGGAATCAAGTCAGTAAGAGTGAGACCTTGTTGGGACAAGGATATGTAACATGACTTGTGCTTTGGCGTTCTTTTGTGATCAAAAATTCCTTACTTTTATTTTTTTATCTATGGTAGGACCACCCAGAGCAGGGGTCCACAACTCCCAGGTCACAGACTGGTACCAGTCCATGGACTATTATGAACCACACCACACAGGAGGAGGTGAGCAGCAGGCAAACCAGGGAAGCTTCACCTGTACTTACAGCCACACCCCATGGCTCATATTACCGCCTGAACTCTGCCTCCAGTCAGATCAGTGATAGCACTAGATACTCATTGGAGCATGAACCCTATTGTGAACTGCTCATCTGAGGGATCTAGGTTGTGTGCTTCATATGAGAAACTAATGCCTGATGATCTGTCACTGTCTCACTTTGCCCCCAGATGAGACCATCTAGTTGCAGAAAAATAAGCTCAGAGTTTCCACGGATTCTACATTATGGTAAGTTGTATAATTATTTCATTATATATTACAATGTAATAATAATATAAAGTAGCACAATAAATGAAACATGGCTGAATAATCCTGAAACCATCCCCACCTTCCCCCAGCCCATGGAAAGACTGTCTTCCACAAAACCGGTCCCTGATGCCAAAAACATTGTGGACAACTGACCTAAAGTAATTCATTATCACAAGTCTTACCTGGATTGCTGTTTTCAGAAGAGATTTTTAGCATCTGTTTTTCTTTATAGTCAGAAAGTAATTCACAAATTCTATGTATAAAAATGTAATAAACCAAATTACTATTTTAATACTGATATAAAAAATACTTACCAAATGTAAAATTCTTAGAGTATTTCAAACAATATCATAATATCAGAATTTAACAGTATTATCCCATACACTTATGAGTACATTCTACAAACTTTTCTTTAAGCTTCTAATTAAAGAAGAAAAAAAATTAGGTGAAATGCTCATAAATCAAGGGCACTGTGACCCAGTAAATCAGCATGCATTAGCATGACATAATAGAAAGTGTCCCAACTCTGCATAAGTCCTAGCTCCATAATGAACAGCTATTTGTTCTTGGACAACTTTCTTCTCTTAGGCTCAATGTCTTCTTCTACAAAGTGAGGACTTTGCTGCCTTATTTCACTAGGTTGTTATAAAGATTTAACAAGGTAACATTTTTTAAATGCTCAGAGAAATAGTAAAGCAATGGAATAATCTGTTCCTAAACTTTATGACTAAAATTATCTTGGAATCCCAAATAAAACCCCATGTGTATTTTGTTCATAGGTTCTAATATGCAAATGCTGTAGTTTTCAGAAAATGTTATTAAGTCCTAATTTTGCTTCTTAGTTGTCCTACTCCTTATGGCTTATCATTCAGGGCATCTCAACTGTGTCATAGTTTGTAACTAAATTTTTTCATAAATCTCTCATTAAAGTAGATAATGTGATTGTCCACTATTACGGAGTTGACCAATTTGTTGTGCTAAGGGCAGAAAAACCAATGGATGTTAAGACCTGGCTTGGAGCAATGATCCTTCTCTACAGACTCAAACTCTGAGCCAGCAGATGTTTGTTAGGATAATGCTTTATGTTGATGTTCAATTCCAGCTGACATGGGAGACCAAAACTCTACTTTTATTTTTTTTCAGTTTTCATGAAGAAGTTGCAAATTGACATTCTCTAATTTTTGACGTACATACTTATAATATATTTTGCACTGAACACATTATTGAGCTCTAAATCATCTCACAGACCATCTTCCATGACTATTTTTGCAGCACAAATCACATTTCGATATTTTGGTGGCACCCATTTTGCTTTGATTCACACTGTTTCCTTAGAGCTAGTCAGCAAATAGTGAAATGATCTTCCAGTGACTGCACAAAATATGGAATGCTTCAAAGAGTTGTGCTGCCTCCTTATGCAGAAGCCGTGCTAACTTTCTCTGTATTGTTCCAATTTTAGGATATGTGCCGCCAAAGCAGGCACAAAGCCCTACTTTTACACATGATTTGTGATGAGTCATGGGCAAGGCTTGGCTCTTGTCCATGACTCATCACTACTTACTTAACCCACTTGAGATTCTGAGAATTCTCTTCAATGGCTTCCTGTGAGGTACAATTTGAAAATATTTTAAAATCTTGAGCTAGAGATGGAAGTAGCTTGGACGATTTTCATTATCATGTAAATCAGATCACTCAAGGGGCCAACCACAGCTGGGAGCCACTGCTTGGGGAAGGCTCATATGGGACTTTCTACTGCCTAAGGTTCTACACAGGATATAAAGGTGCCTCACAGTGTAGATCTGGTAGCAAAGAAGAAGAAACAAACACTGATCTCTTTCTGCCACATTATTTGAACCCCTCTGACCCTTTATAACAAGCCCACCTCATATCTGCTAGAGAAAAGACCAACAACGGCCTGAAAGGATCTCTTACCATGAAGGTCTCAGCTAATTCTTAGCTAAGATGTGGGTTCCACATTAGGTTCTGAATACAGGAGGAAGGGTCAATTTGCTCACTTTGTGTGCGGATAAAGTCAGGATGCCCAGCGGCCAGAGCAGGGTGCTGGTGCTTTGGGAACAATGGCTGAGCATATAAGCATAGGTAAGGGAACTAAAAAATGTTGTAACTTCAAAGTCACTGTGTGAATCCCCATGAAGACTTGAGGGATCTGAATCAGTAAGGGCACCTTGGTGTCAAAGGTCAACAATTACCAGGCAGCAGAAGCAGTTTGAGTGGCAACAATGCAGCAACAGAAACAATGGAAACAACAGAATGATTGGAATGTCCTTTTTTCTCTCCTCCTTCTGACTTGATAAAAGGGACTGTCTTCCTTGGATTTAGTGAACCCCTTTGGTTCTTGAAAAATTCAAGGAGTATGTAGGAGACAGTCCCCAGAAGACAGTACAAGGCTTTCTGCTAAACTGGACATTTCAAGACCCAAATAACTAATCAGAAAAATCAAAGATGTGATACTCTTTTTTATGCCATGCATAGGTGTTATACTTGGATGAAATGAACAATATTGGGATCTCTAAGGATAAAGGTCTTAAAAGTCCTGAGGTAAAGAATCCTGCACCCATTGGTACTTCTAACTTGTCTTGCTTTTTGTCTGATTTCTGGCTGATGCAGGGGACTAACTCACTGCCACTCTAAAACTACCTGAACCAAACTATGACATCTCACCTGATATGTAAGATGCAATTGTTATAATTATTTTAAACCTCAATTTAGCATTAACTAGCCTTTTCATGTAAACACTTACACATGATGATGACTAGAAACAGCATACTCTCTGGCCGTCTGTCCAGATAGATCTTGAGAAGATACATCAACATTTTGCTCAAGTAGAAGATTGACTATACTTGCTGATCCACAACATACAGCAAGTATGAGGGCAGTTCTAAAATTACAGAGATAATTTCTCCTTTAGGAACTGTAATAAAGTTATTTTAAAAGCTAATTTGATATACTTTACCAATTTGACATCTTGCCTGTCCATGCAGAATCAAACATTTACATGCGCTAAAAGACATAAGCATCTTGGGTGCTCAAGAGTTCATCTTTGTAAAATACCACCAAGGTTAAAAGGAAGGGACAAAAAGGAAACCTCTTATCTCAGTGGGGTATTGCATAGCAGAAGCTACTAATTTAAAGTCCTTTGATGGGCAAGAAACAATGCTAGGGCCACTTATCTGAAGTGGACAAAGATTTAAGTGAAGATTTTGTCACAGCTTCCCTAGACTGATATGCTGTAATAGAAAATTAGCTAGGGGCTAAGATAAATAAGAGCTCTCTGCATGCTGAAAGCAGTAATATTAATAATAATGGTAAGAATAGTAGTCACAGGAGTTTCAGTTAATGATGCCAATAAGCATGTGCTACGCACTGAATTAAATGCCACACGTATCTTTCTTGCTTATGCACAGCCAACTTTGAAGGATATATTCTCCTACTTTTCACATATGACAACATATTGGGTGGTAAATCACGTTCCCAATGTCACACACGTAGCAAGTAAGAAAGTTAGGAATTAAACCCAGTCTTGTGTGAATCCAAAGCGTAGCTCTTTTCTCTTTATCACCCACCTACAGCTTGCCTTCATTAAAGGAAAAGTGTATCCACTTAAAACTATCTTCACTCCCTCTCTCCATACCAACTAAAAATAAAAACATCAAAATACACTGGAAATAAAAAAGGAAAAAAGCTGTTGAACCCACAGTATGTGGGAATAGCAATTAATTGTCATGTAGGGATAAGCTAACATTAATATTCTTCAAAGAAAGCAACTTAAAGCAGAGTCATTGAAAAGACAAAAGGATTTTCAACTCCTATTTATGTTTAATACAGCATATTTAGTGGAAAAGCATATAAGATACAGAGGTTAAAACCTACTAGAAAGGGTTAAAAAGTTCAATACTGAGTCATAAAGTAAACTGAAAGTTAAAGTTCAAACTTCATAAAATTAATATGAAATCCCTTTAGCTAACATAAGATCATGTAACCAAAAACATCATACAACAAATAACATCAGTCAATATAATAAGAGAAGATGAATCCTACTAAAACAGTTCTTTATGTTGCCCAGTCCAAATAATTGCTTTTCTACTTAACTGATTTGTGTTGATACTGATCACTATGTCCCAATAAGTATAATTTGATCTTATTAATTTATTATTTATGACTTGAGTGACTGCTATCAATCTAGAACAACACACAGATTAAAAGAAATAACCATACCTTCCATATCTATCAAGTGCATTTAAATTAGCTTTTTTCTTGATTAAAAATTTCACCACTTCCTGTTTTTGTTCATGTACGCCAAGCAAAAGTGGTGTGAGGCCACACTGTAAAACAATATAAAACAAAAACAATATGTAATTCAAAAAATTATGTATCTCTCAACTGAACTGGAAGCTTATGGACTTACACTCACAGAAAGTAAATAAAATTTGGTCGCTTCCTTCTCACTCTTCTGTACTTTCCCACGTGCCACTCCTTCCCTTGGAAACATCCCTTCTCTGCCTCACCACATTAAATCTGATCATCTCAAAAACTCACTTTAAACATTTACTGTTTCCAAGACTCTTTGTTTCTAAATGAGCATTTGGCATGGCACTTTTGGATGATTTTTTTTTCATTTAAACAAAAAGCTTCTTGAGGGCAGGGGCTGTATCTTTTATCTCTATTATTATCCAATCCTAAGACAAAATTGTTGTGTATAAAGCAAGAATTTGAATGTAAAATATTTCTTTAGTTTCACATGTTTTACCAAAGTTCAAGCTCCAACATGCAATAAATATTGCTATTAATACTCACACTGCCCATTTCAAGAATTTTTTCCAACATTTATTCATTTAAAATCTATTTGTATTTAATTTTTCCAGATTGTTAACTAGATAGATAATCAGTTCATAGGATTACTGAAACTAAGAGATTTCCTATCTGTATTCTTAATAACTCCATGGTTTTGAGTGTTTAAACCTGCCATCCTGATTAAGCCAAAGCTCTACAAACTTAAGAGACATACTGGATAGCCCACAATATAGCTTCAATTGACAAAAAAGGTTTAGAATTTGCTACAATTCTGAGAAAACTCTGCTCTTAAAAACGACTTACTGACCTAAGCACTTGAATGATTGAACAAAGGGACACAAAGTCCTGAGAGAGCCATCCTCTACTTATTGGAAGACTACTCACTGCAAATTTCTAAAGACCTTCTGAATGGCAGTGAATAACTGATGGTAGAAAGGAAAAGGTATTATTCTGTAAGCTGATAGATAGTGCCAATAATATTTATTTTAATGTCCCAACGACAGAGATAAGTCAGACTAGGCCAGGAATGGTGGCTCACACCTGTAATCTTAGCATTTTGGGAGCCTGAGGTGGGTGATTCACTTGAGCCCAGGAGTTCAAGATCAGCCTGAGAAACATGGCAAAAACCTCATCTCTACTAAAAAAAAAAAAAAATACAAAAACAGATTGGAGGACCACCAGAGCTTAGGGACGTCAAGGCTGTGGTGATCTGTGACCGCACCACTGCACTCCAGCCTGGGGAACAGAGTGAGACCCCATCTCAAAAACAAACAAACAAAAATTTAGATTAATGTTATTGGAAAGGAAAGATTTAAAGGAATTAGCACATATCCAACTCCAACTCTTCTAGAAATATCTGAAGTTTCTGAGATATAAGAATTTACATATTACACTTATGTATTCAGTGGTTAAGCAGGAGTGTATCCGGATTTTGAGAAATTTGTTGTTGTTGTTGTTAGAGACAGGGTCTCATTATGTTGACCAGGCTAGACTAGAACTCCTAAGCTCAGGCAATCCTCCCACCTCAGCCTCCCTAGCAGCTGGGACTACAGCCATGCACCACCATGCCTGGCTTCAAGGAAACATTTTTAAACATACATATCCAGGCTTTATTAGACTTACTCTATCAAAATCTTCAGGGGAAAACCTAGACTTGAAGATTATTTAAAAATTTTCCTGAGGTAACTGGAATGCACAACTCTAGCTGGAAGCTAGTGCAATAGACAATTATTTCAGTCTCATCTCTCATCACATAAACAATTCCCTTTATCATTTGAGGATTTGGCCAAAAAGAGGAAAGAGTAGGAGAGAGACTCATTTGCTGAAAACACCACAAAATTTTCCCCGGTAAGAGTAGAACAAGGTCTAGTAAACTCAAAATCCAACCTGATCTTTTTACTTATAAGCCCCTTATCTCCCACCTTCCCATCAAGACATTCTAGAATTGAAAGCAGAGTTGAGACTCTAATTGGCCATTTCTACCAGAATAGTATACTAAGTTGGTTAATTACTTGTTATTCCTTCTACTCAAGGGTTTCCCACTACATTACCACATATTCACTGCCAGTCTGGTTCCTCAGAGGCCTCCTAAAATTGATCTCTAGGCAGTTTACAACCCACTAACTCCCTCTCCCAAACTGAAAACTGTCATTCTCTAAAATGGAAAAGAACCCTGTCTCACCATATAAAGGAAACAAATGAATGAACAACAATAACAACACACACACACACACACACACACACACAAACAAAAACAAAAACAAAAAAAAACCTCTTCATGGTCTTTTCCCCCATTACCTAATTTCCAAGTTGGCCTTGGTATTTCTGATTGCTGCATTTTTCCCTTTCCAATTCTGCCTCATGAGCAATCAGAAATATCTTAAGCCTTGCCACTGAGAGATACATCACCTCATATCTATTAGTGTTTTTTTAGGAATTTGCCAAAGTAGCAGGATTACTATTCACTGAAACATGTTTAAGTTTTCTTGGAGTTTTAATGTAAAACCTATTTCCAGGGCAAATTTTGTCATTTTACATTTGTTAGGGGAAAAAAAACTTGACAGGGAAAAATTGAAAAAAAAAAAGTATTACCTTTTACAAATTCAGTGTTTTTTTTTTAAAAAGCATTAACCACAAGTGCACTGAAAAAAACTGTACCCTCTAATGCTTCTTTAAAAGTAACAATATTTAAAATAAAGTCTTAGATAATTAAGTCATTTCAAAATATTTTCATTCAGGTTATGCTTGAGCTTCCAAATACGGAAAACTGGCCCTTACACAGGTCAATGTTAACACGAATGCATTTCAGTATTTTGAAGATAAAATTGGTAGATCTATACCTTGTTTTTTGATTCAATATCAGCACCATATAAGAGCAGTGCTTTGGCCATTAATTTATCTTCATTGTAGATAGCATAGTGTAGAGCGGTATTTCCATACTCATCTTGAATATTTCCATCAGCGCCATGTTCCAGCAACATTAACACACATTCATCTTCCTGGCATTGTACGGCCTGTCAGTATTAGACCAAAAACAAATTATAAGTCCTAGGAATTCAAAATAACATTCCACAGCTTTCACCAACTAGTTATATTTAAATGAGAAAACTCATTTTTATGCTATCTATTGAAATCAAACCCATCTCACGCTGATATAGTTGACTACTGCATACCTTTATCAGAGCTGTCCTTTTTTTGTTGTCAAGGACGTTAAGTTGACATCGTCTGTCCAGCAGGAGTTGTACTACTTCTGAATTTCCATTGGCAGAGGCCAAATGTAGAGCAGTCCTATGAGAGTGAGAAGACTTCAGGAAATTGTAGTGCACTAGCTAATGCCACATTAATGATTCATGTAGTTGCAAACACTGAATAGCCTATTACTCTGCCTTCAAAACAAACTCAATTTTCCTTTGAAGAAAGCACACTACTTATTACCTCTCATTAGTCACTGTATTAATGAAAGAGCAGCCTATTTGAATAGAAAGAGCATAGCTCTTGGATGACATTCAACTTGGGCTGGAATCCTACTTGAAGCTCTGTCGCTTCCTAGCTGTTGCTTAGCCTTTTTGTGTCTCAATTTCCTCATCAATAAAATGGGAATGAAAATAGTCAGTTTCTCAGAGGAAACCACTGTAATGCTTAAATAAGACTCTACACAAAATATAGAATAGTTCCTAACACAAATAACAGCTCAAAACTTGTAAGATATTATAATTTTTACTAATACCACTAAAGACAACATTTGAATTAAGTGAAACGATACAATTATACCTACACTTTCAGGTACATTTTAAAGATTACAGGTAGCGTTGTACTGTATTTTATTGAGTCTAAGATGATCATTGTCTCCATGTTTTAACATTTCTTACACTGAAATACCACTTATTAATTCATGATTTACTATAATTATAATTGGCAGCATTTAAATAATTTTCTTAGTGAGACATAAAATAATGGGGCATCATACAATCCCTGGTGCCTTACATTAAGTAGAATATGTTATAATATAACAGGTCTGGGGCAGTTCCAGTCAGATGACTAGCATTTAGATAAATTTTAGTTCTTAAAAGAACTATGGAATAAGAGGGCTGAGGTGAAAACAAAAACAATTTTCTAAAATAATCTATTTCTTACTTTGGTTTTCAAAAACTTTAAGCCAAAGAAATCTTGAAATTCAAATGAATAGCATGGGCTCATTTTTTTCAATACTTAGATTTATACAACGTATGTACATCAGATATTTCCAATCATTCATATTAGGATTTAAGACTGTTATAAATTTTCTCTTTTTAAAATGGATTTATGAAACTATTTGTGGAGCTTTTTTCAACTTTTACATTCGGGGATACAGGTGCAGGATGTGCAGGTTGGTTAACATAGGTAAACGTGTTCCAAGAGGGTTGGCTGTACAGATTATTTCATTACTCAGGTGTTAAGCCTAGTACCCATTAGTTCTATTTCCTGCTTCTTTCCTTCCTCCCACCCTCCACCCTCTGATAGGCCCCAGTGTGTGTTGCTTCCCTCTAGGTGTCTGTGTGTTCTCCTCATTTAGCTCCCACCTATAAGTGAGACCATGCAGTATTTGGTTTTCTCTTCCTATGTTAGTTTGCTAAGGATAATGGCCTTCAACACCATCCATGTCCCTGCAAAGGACAGGCTCTTGTTCTTTCTTTTATGGCTACATAGTATTCCATGCTGTTTATGTACCACATTTAAGTTCTTAAAACAGCTAAAACAGTGTTTACCCAAGTCTTATACATTTTCAAAAGGGCAGTTAAGGGTTATCTTTTACTATTTTCCACCTTCAGAAGTGCTTTTGTTTGAAAGGAGGGAGGAAAAGCTTCAATTGAGATTAAGTCCTAATGCCCCAATTTTGATTCTCTCAGCTTGCTCAGGTGCAGCAGGTAAACATGAAGTTTTCAAAGGTGGAAGGATCCTGAGAGATAGCAGAATATGCCTGCCATATAATAGGTGTCTGGCTTATGTTTGATGACTAAACGGATTGAAAGAATGGATAAACATAGGTTGGAAGTTCAATATTTTTTAAAGAAAACTCCTGTTGAGTAGAGCAATACATTTGCGATAGTAACGATCATTTATATTTGCTATTTTAGTTTTCATAAATATATAACTAAACTAAAATAATTAATCCATACTATTTACACATCAATCTATATATAATAAGATGTATACACAATAAAATCTACCAGAAGAGGTAAACAGAAGCCCTCTACTTCTGAAGAGGGTAAAAGTTCACAGAAGATAGCCATCCACAGGTATAAAAATAAATAATAGAATGTAAGAAATTATTTGTATCTATGCAAGTAGCATATTCCTTCTCTTCCCAAGGATTATTTCATTACTAATGAAACTTAACTAAAACTTTGCAGATGTTCATTGCAGAAATCACAGATAAGAGAAAGGGAAAAACTTCACTTACAAATCCCCAGAAATAAGTTTGATTATATTTTCCACATATTTCCAGCTAACACAAGAGCAGATTCTATTTGTGTATATGTATAACAAACTGATTTTTTCTCACTTGATACAGCAAAGTACATCTCTGCATGCCGACATATCTCTGTATCTACTGACACCCTCAATGGTTACATATTATTCCATCCTATGGATGCACTGAAATTTGTTCATAAAATCTTTATATGAGTTCTTCTAAATACATGGCTATTTTAAGCAATACTAAGAAAAACAGCTGTGTCTGTTTCATATAGATATTTCAGTATAATGGAACAGATGGGTAAAAGGCATACACATTTTAAAAATGTGGTTCTTACCATCAAAGTGTCTATTTGAAAAGCCGCAGCAACTTAAACTTTCAGCAGGTATATAAGTACCACTGTTCTTCACCCTCACAAACTTTGTGGACACAAAACAGTATTTCATTCCTTTATATTTATTTATTTATTTTTTTGAGATGGAGTCTCACTCCATCACCCAGGCTGGAGTGTAGTGGTGCAATCTCAGCTCACTGCAACCTCCGTCTCCCTGGTTCAAGCAATTCTCCTGCCTCAGCCTCCTGAGTAGCTAGGATTACAGGTGCATGCCACCATGCCCAGCTAATTCTTTGTATTTTTAGTAGAAACGGGTTTCACCATGCTGGCCAGGCTAGTATCAAACTCCTGACCTCGTGATCCACCTGCCTTGGCCTCCCAAAGTGCTGGGATTACAGGCATGAGCCACCATGGCTGGCCTTTCATTCCTCTTCTAACTTAAACAGAAAATAGTCTTTCATTCCTCTTCTAACTTAAATTCCTTCTCTTAGCAGGAATGCTATGTTTTCCTATGTACACAGGTCACTGGTAGACATGCAAAAAAGTACCTTGCCCAATTTTAAATTGAGCTTATTTTATTATATCTGCATATATATGCCGGTTTCAGTGGCTCATGACTGTAATCTCAGCACTTTGGGAGGCTGAGGTGGGTGGATCACAAGGACAGGAGTTCAAGACCAGCCTGGCAAAGATGGTGAAATCCCGTCTTGATTAAGAACACAAAAAATTAGCCAGGCATGGTGGTGGGTGCCTGTAATCCCAGCTACTTGGTAGGCTGAGGCAAAGAATTACTTGAACCAGGAACCAGAGGTTGTAGTGAGCTGATATTGCACCACTGCACTCCAGCCTGGGCTATGGAGTGAGAGTCTGTCTCAGAAAAATAAATAAATATTTGCACATATAAATAGGCATTTGTGTTTTCTTCTGGTACTTTTCTCCTTTTGTATCTTTAAAATTTTTAATCTATACTCCAGGAACTTATTTTTGTGACATAAAAATCTAGGTAGTTTTCTCCAAACAGCATGCATTTAATTTATGAATAATTCACCTTGTTTTACCAATATGAAACATCACCATTATCAAGTGCTAAATTCTTACATATATTTGGGTATTTCTGGATTTCCTATTCTGTTCTGTTCACTTATGTCTTTTCAGCTGTTAGTAAACAATTTGTGGAAATAACACACGCACATTTTGATATCTGGAAAAGCAAGTCTTTTTCCATTCTGTTACAAAAAATCAATTTATCACAATGATAAAATACATCATGTGCAATTTAAAGACACTAAGACTTTGCTATTTTTATTTGGCTTATGTAAAAGTGATAAACACAGAAAAAGCTCACATCTTAAGAAAAACGAACCTTCCTATTCAAAGATATGAACCATACTTCCCATTTCAGTTTCCTTTTAAGGTTACTCAGTAAAGAACGTGTTTACATAGGGTACACATCGATATAAAATCCATATTGGATTTTATTTGAAAAATATTTAGCCCAGAAGTTGATATATTATGGGACTTAGTTCTCAATATACACCTTTCTATAGTGTATAGAACATTGTTTTAAAATGTGTACATTAAAAATAATCTGCTGCATCGACTTAATTTTGCGAGTTAAATCACTTTAAAACCGTCTATTAGTGTTCTATAAGGGAAATTATAATTGGATTGGAAATCAGCTAAAGTTTTGTTTTTGTGTTGCTGTTTATAAAGGGACCTGGGCCCTGACATCTCTGAGGTTTCCACACCCAGGGTGGTGTGGGGCCTGCGGAGGAAGAGAAAGCCTGGCTCCTCCCTCCCTGTGCCAGGAGGGTATGTCCCCATCATCCCCCCATGTCCCGCCTCTTCCCATCCCAGGCCCGGTTACCTCTTTTGCTTGTCCCTCTTGTTCATGTCAGTGTCCCTGAGCATGACGATGAGATCCTTTCTGGGGACTTTACCCCACCAGGCAGCTCTGTGGAGCTTGTCCAGATCTTCTCGACGGACGTGGTACCTCGGCTCCATGAAGGCGCTGTCGTCGTAGTCTCCCCAAGTGCCCACGTTGCTCTTGCCGCTCCCCCTGCAGCAGGGGAAGCAGTGACAGCACCACTTGCCCATCTTGCTCCTGAGTGTCTTCATAAAGGAGTTGTCATGGTCTCCAGAAGTGCCCACATTGCTCGTGCCGCTCCCCCTGCAGCAGGGGAAGCAGTGATGGCAACACTTGCCCATCTTGCTCCTGAGCGTCTTCATAAAGGAGTCGTCGTGGTCTCCAGAAGTGCCCATGTTGCTCTTGCCGCTCCCCCTGCAGCAGGGGAAGCGGTGGTGGCACCACTTGCCCATCTTGCTTCTGAGATCAAATGGCTTCTTCACAGCAGAGGCAGCGGGCATTGAACAAACCTCAGCCACCATCTGCTTTTAACAGCCAGGGGAGGCCGGTAGTAGCGAACAGATCGCGTCTACCAACCAGTTTCACCAACTAGCAGGAAACCCTGGGTTTCCAATCTGTTTGAAGAGAAAGGTCAATCCCAGCCAAAACTTGCCAAGCCCAGCAAGGGAGCCCAGCCCACCCCACCCAGGGAAAACCCACACCCACCCGGGGAAAGCCCACGCCCACCAGGGGGACCCCACGCCCACCCCAGGAAAGGCCAAGCCCCCCCTCCCAAGGAAACACCCAGCCCAGTCAAGGGAATGCCAAACCCAGCAGAGAAAAGGTCAAGTCCAGCAAAGGAATGCGAGGGAGGAAACGCCAATCCAAGCAAGAAACACCAGGCAAAGCTACTAACAGCCAAGCCAAGCTAGGAACGCAAGGCCAAGGGAGGAACGCCAAGCGAAGCGTACCCGTTACAGGTAAGCCAAGCCGTTATGCGCGTGCGGGGCGCGCGTGCGGGGCGCGCGCCTCAGACGTTATGCGGCGTGTGCGTGAGGCGTGCGCGTGTCATTGCACGTGGTCCAGGAAGTGGCCGATGTGTGCAATCCGCGTGCGCAAGTCTTGGCGCCACAAATGTCAGTGACAGCCTTGCGTTACTGGCAAAGTTCATGGGAGTTGGCCCAGCTTTCTGGCCACTGAGGAGAGAAGCCTGTGGTGGGAAAAAGCCTCTTGAAGCAGGACTGGGGCTAGAGCGCCTGGAACTCGAGGATGCTGACAGCCTCCTCTGAGGAAAGCCCCCAAGACACTAGTGGTGGCGCTGTTGCGGGTGGCCGCCGCTGCAGCTTAGAGCTCTGGTTGGCGGAGCTGGATGCAAATGGCCTCAAAATCTCCGAGCACAAGACGCCCACGGAGCCCAGGGCCTGCCTGAGGCGCCTTCCACACCTGCTCCTCCTTGGTCCGCACCCAGAACACAGGGCCATCAGCAACGGGGCACTCGGGGCCACAGAATCGGGGCTGGGCTGCTAGCTCCTGCTGTGGTGCCCCCTGCCTGGTGTCCAAACCAGGGCCAACAGCTGTGGGGCTTCTGGCCCGGGGTGCTTCGCTTCACTGGCATGCAGTAGGGTTGAGGTGCAGGCCGCTGTCTCCAGGCCTGCAAGAGGGGGCTGGGAGGAGCACCTACCACTGATGGGGAGATGCAGGAAGGCACCCCCACGTGCAGATCCTGGGAACAGGACACTGCCAGCACCAGGGAGCCAGATCGGAGCCTCCCTGGCAGCCTGTGAGCTGGACCCAGGCAGTGGCACCTCTACCCTCCTGCTGGGACCCTCCTGCTGTGCAGGCTTATGCAGCCAGGCTCCAGGCTGCTTCACCCATACTGCAGGTGCTTTGGTGTGGGAGGAAAAATGCATTCTGGCCGGGCACTGTGGCTCACGCGTGTAATCCCAGCACTTTGGGAGGCTGAGGCGGGCGGATCATAAGGTCAGGAGATAAAGACCATCCTGGCTAACACGGTGAAACCTCATCTCTACTAAAAATACAAAATACTAGCGGGCATGGTGGTGGGCGCCTGTAGTCCCAGCTACTCGGGAGGCAGGAGAATGGCGTGAACCTGGGAGGCGGAGCTTGCAGTGAGCCCAAGATCGCATCACTGCAACCTGGGTGACAAAGCAAGACTCTGTCAAAAAAAGAAAGAGAGAGAGAGAGAGACAGAGACAAAGACAGAGACGGAGACAGAGAGACAGACGGAGAGAGAGAAAAATGGATTCTAAGCCTGGGACACCGACCTGCTCCTGCCAACAAAAGCAGAGGGGAAGCCAATTGCAAGTGCAAAAAAAAAGTTTTTATTTCAGTGGGATGAATGTCTAGGTGTGCAGTCACTGGAGTAAACGTCACTGGGACATGCTGTGTAATTCTTTGTGTACATTGCTGAGTTCTACTGCTAATGTTAGCCCATTTCATTCATGAAATTGGTAATTTATGACATCCCTTTTTTCTTTATCATTATTAGTTAAGGTTTGTCAATTTTATAGATATTTTCAAAGAACCAGCTTTATTTCTTTGCTTTTCTTTGTTGTTTTCTTTTGGCTGTTTCATTTATTTCTGCTCTTATCCTTATTATATTCTTTCTTATATTTGTTTTGATTTTATTTTGCTACTATTTTCTACTTTCTTGATGTGATAGCTTGAATTTTTATTTGAGAGATTTCTACTTTTCTATTATATATATTTAGTGAAATACATTTTCCTCTCAACACTGACGTCAACTGTGTTAAATCAAGTTTGATATGTTGTATTTTTATTTTTATTCAGTTTAATATATTTAATTGTTTCCCTTGAGACGTTCTCCTTAGAAGTGTGCTTGCTGTTTAGCACTATTCACAATAGCAAAGACATGGAATCAACCTAAATGCCCATTGGTAATAGACTGGATGAAGAAAATGCAGTACCCATACAACATGGAATACTATGCAGCCATAAAAATGAAGGAGATCATGTCCATTGCAGGGACATGGATGGAACAGGAAGCCATTATCCTCAGGAAACTAATGCAGAAGCAGAAAGCCAAACATCTAATGTTCTCACTTATAAGTAGGAGCTGAACAATGAGAACACATGGACACAGGGAAGTAAGCAACACACACTGGGGCCTGTGGATGGGGGAGGGAGAGGGAGAGCATTGGGAAAAATCTCTAATGCATGCTGGGCTTAAACCGAGGTGATGGGTTGATAGGTAGGGAAAACCACCATGGCACAAATTTACCTATGTAACAAACCTGCACATCCTTCACACCTACCCCAGAACTTAAAATAAATAAAAATGTAAAAAAAAGAACTAAAAAAGTATGCTGTTTATTTTTCAAGTATTTAAGATTCTGCTGTTATTTTACTTTTTTATTTTTAATTTGATGCCATTTTGGCTGGAGGATACATTCTACAGGATTTCAGTTTTTAAAAAATTCTTAATGTTTGTTAAAATCCAGGATACAGTCCATTTTGGTTTATGTTCTGTGGGTACCTAAATGTTCTGCTGTATTCTGCTGCTAGGGGGTGGAGCCTGTTTTTTTCTTCTTTTTTTTATCTCCAGGTACAATTTGCCCTATGAGACACCTGATACAGTAAGTAGCCCATCAGGTATCCAGCAGTAAAAACTAAATTAGTGGAAGGAAGTCCTGTCCCAACTGGTTTGACATATTGTGGCTGAATTTTTAGGTTTTAGTGAAAATAATAATGATGGCTTGATCTTCAAAGTTGTTTTTTTTTTTTTTACCATTTCCCAAATAGCTGGGGATTATTGTGGTGTAACCACTTAAAACTCTGATGAAATGTGGAAAGAATTTCTTTTTCTAATTGATACTTTGTGAGTGCAACTACTTTGCATTGTGCAGAGAGAAAAAAATATATTCCAGGCATTCGCCAAATCAAAAGTGCATGAACAAGTCCCTAAATTTCTTCCTGTCCTCAGATTTCCACCATAAAGTTTCAGACCAAATAAAAAATTGTTTTTTCACTAATTTTCTTTGAGGAAATGTAAGAGAAAAAAAAGAAAGAAACAAGTGTTTTGAAGGGTAGAATTTTGGCAATTATATGAGATTGTAAAATCCGAATGTGGATTAGCTTCAACTCATCAAAGATTCAAGAACAGCTACAGTTCTAAGAATGAGCCAAAAAAAAATGGGTATGCATTGAGGGGAGGGAATTAGGAAGGGAATTTATAGCCATTCAGACATTTCCCAACATTAAGCCTTCATGAATTTTGCATTGGAAAGAAATATTTATAAATTAAGAAACTCAGTATCCAGTCCACCCTGTGATAAATACTGCAATGTGCCCAAGCATTCCAATTTGAGTATGGCTTTGTGCTTTGCCAATCATAACAATGGGAGATAGAAGTAATAAGAGCCTGCATGAAGCACTGTGCTAATGATAATTTTCCCAGTAAGAACAAAAGAGAGGCCATTACTTTTAAACATCATTGAATATAATCAAACACTGGGTAGGCTTGTCTGTATTTAGATTTTATAACTCTACGGTTATAGCTATAAAGTAAAAAAGACATATTATAAAATTTCTGTCATTAAGAAAAGTATTTATTATTACAAATGTGAATTTCTCTAGACGGTAAATTCTTTGGAATTAGTTGACTTCATGTAAGTTGATTTGTTCAGTAACACAGAGTAGACTTCTTGTAAATAGGAACAAGTGTGCATCTGATCAAGATCCACTATTTTCTTATATGTATATCCCTTTTCTGCCTTCCCTCAGAATACTATCTTTCACAAAACAACACACATCTCTTCCACCAACTTCTCCCCAGAATATCGCATATTCGATCAGTGTCCACAAATGTTAGATACAGAATGTTAAATTACTATTAGGTTTGCGCAAATGTAGTTGTGATTAATGGCAAAAATCGCAATTATTTTTGCACCAACCTAATAGTAACATTGAAACACAATATTAGTTATTCAACATCAGAAAGATCTTCCAGAACAGTCATCACCACAGATGGGCCAAACTATTATTTGTAGGGCACTGCAGTAAGTTAGAATTTTATCAAATTCATAAATTAATGGATATTTTGTTAAGGGATATGAACAGCCTGTAGTATAAATTTGAGCTATACATTGTTGGGAGAACAAAATAATAAAACGATATAATAGTAGCAATCAAGTGGTGACCTTTCTGTCACACTTACAATTTTCAATGCACTTGTCTACTTATTATTTCATGTGTGGATGGGTTAGCTGAGTGGCGGGGCCATCAGATGTCATATATACAGATGACTCCCTTCTATACACCATTCTGCCATTAGTTGATGTATATTTTACTTTTGCTTTTCCCTTCCCATTTCACTACTAGATAAAAATCCTAATCTTGACTTCTAAATCACACCTAGTTTTACTCATGTGTAGTTGTACCTGACAAAGAATTACACTACATAAATTCCATCCATTAGAGGTGTGGCCGAATGGACAGAAAACCATTAACATTGATTACTTCAGTGCATGTGGGATTGCAAATGCAGATGAGAAGGAGAAGATTTTTATTTTTTCTTTATATAAGTTTACCTTATGTATTCTAATGCAAGGCTCAAGTATCATTTATAGTGAAACATTAAAATGTTCTTAAAAGTTCATGTCCTTAATGTTCTGTAAAGGAAGCATAAACTCATTTATTGCAACAAATGCAACAATTTATTTCACTCCTCAGATTATTGATCCTGATATAAATAAAACTGTTCAGAACTTGCACAGAGATATTTAAACGAACAAAGAAACAAAAAATCTAGGGAAGAAGTGAAGAAAAGAATGCTTTTTAAATTACTTAATCATTGTTGATGGACTGACAACATCCAACTTACATCTCCTGAATTAAACCTGATATTTTCTTGGAGAGTAGTGAGGAGTAGTTGAGGGTAGATAGGAAAGAGAGTGTATTTTGAGAAATGTAAAATTTAGAGAAGCTTAATTTAAACACTCCCTGTGTGTCAAAGAGCTATTAAATAAAATTTTCATGATTTTAATATAAGTGAATCTGAACTAGCATATGGTCTAAGTTTCTTTTAAGTTGCACATGGATTTAAAATATAGGGGAAAAAGATCACTTGGCAAATATGTTTTTGGTTTTGAAAAACTTCCAAATGTTTAAAAAGTACTTTTCAAATCAACCATACCCATATGCATCCAGGTTTTCTCATCCTCACCAGTGAAGGATAAAAAGAAATAGAATTAAGGCAAAATGGATGGAGAGGTGATACATATGCTGTAAAACTATGTCAGAAATATCAGTTGATTCTTTAGGGAATTGGTTAAAAAAATAAATTTAGTCCTTATGGCAATTTAACCCAAAGAATCTAACACTTATTCTTAGTGGCTTAGGATCATGGATGATATTAATCTGTCACAAGATGATTCTATGACTATTTCCAGAAGTGGAAAAGTGCAGAAATAGAAAATGCATATGATATTGCTATTTTATTTTGTTCCAAGTCTTGTCACTATTGGTGGAAAACAGTTTTCCAAAGGAATGAACATTTAGATAAATTATGGAATGAAGAATCATTTTCAATCCTTTATGCATAGATGCATTGATAATAACTGAACATCTTTGGCATCTGGCTTCCAGATACAGTGACGATTCCTTCAAGACATCTAGAAATTAAATAGATGTGCGTGAACACTTTAAAAAATGTAAATACATTAAATGTCAGTTATTTTGAAATAAGTTATTTTTTTAAACAGGAAGCATTTTTAATTAAAAATTAGAAAATAGCTATATTTGGACAATTAGTTACTCAATGTTTTTTCCAAATAACAGATGAAATATACTTTGATGTTTTTTGTTTTAAATAAATGCAAATATATGGATGCAAAACAAATCAAACATTGCTACAAATGAAATATATGTGCTGTCAGTAATTCTCAAACATTGAATAATATTCAGTGAACTTCAACACATACCTTTGGTGGCCCGTTAAAATTCATTATAATGAATTTTGAATTAGATTCCAAAATGAACACACTATTTTCTTAGCTTTTAGCGTCTGTCGTTTTTTTCTATATTCATTTTTCTTTTTTTTTTTTGACTGAGGTGGCGTCTCACTCTGTCACCCAGGCTGGAGTGCAGTAGCACAATCTCGGCTTACTGCAAGCACCGCCTCCCAGGTTCAAGAGATTCTCTTACCTGAGCTTCTCAAGTAGCTGGTTACAGGTGCGTGCCACCACGCCCAGCTAATTTTTGTATTGTTGGTAGAGATGAGGTTTCACCATGTTGGCCAGGCTGGTCTCGAACTCCCGACCTCAGGCGATCCACCCACCTTGGCCTCCCAGAGTGCTGGGATTACAGGCGTGAGCCACTGCACCTGGCTGGTTTTTTTTTTTCTATTTTCATTACTAAGACTAAACAATAGTTATGTGACTGAATACAGCTGATCATTTTACCAACTCCTTTCAGCAAATTAATTTTGTCATTTTAATTAAGTTCAAATTTAAGAAGTGAATAAATATAGATACTATAGCACATATATTTCCCAAAACATAATATAATATGTGTGTGTGTGTGTGTGTGTGTGTGTGTGTGTGCATTTGGGAAATAAAAGAGTATTATATTTTACTCAAACAACATCAAACATGCAGTCAAGTAAGTTTGATGAAGAAGATAATATTTTAGCCTAAGAATGAGAATTCTGTAAGACAATGTGTTACTTTATAGTATCAGTTATGTGACCCTTCCACACTGATATTTTGGGTGCAATTGCACCCTCTTTGCCATATACTCTTGGGAGAATAGAAGGTTCTTCACATTTTTCCATTCATTGTAACTTCTCCTGTAGGACAGCCCACAGATACATTTCCTAGACTATATTAAGGAAACAAAAGCAAACAAATATGAGAAAATAATAAAGGTAAGTGTCTGGGAGGGTGAGAAATCAAATTCAGTGGGGTTTAAACTATATCTCATACAAGTGTCCCAAAGTTGTGCTTTTGGAGAAATTCACCTTGGATAGAGACATGGTCAAGTGACCATGTCTCTTTACCTTTACCTTTTTTAAAAAACAATACATAGCTGTATCCTTGGAAGAGAGGCAAGGAGTGCTGTAGGGTGACTATCTTTGATTTCTGTTGTGGTTCAGAGGAAGTGTAACTTTCTTAAAAGATACCTTGACTTTTGTCACATTTAGCTATTCGTTCCTTTTTATTTAGGAAAAAAAGGCTGAGCCTGCTGTGGCTTGGGCTCTTATTATCTTTTCTTGGGCTTCTTGGATCTCATAAATGATAACTCTACTTTTATTGTTGCCTTCTCCAAAGGAACCTGAATACCAGCATCACCTTCATTTACCCTAAAGCATGATTCTCTGCCTAAGAAAACCCCTATGGTTGACATTTACATTTACTTTATACCTCTCTTAATCTTTTGAGGAATGCCTCTCTACCTATTCTGCATGGTAAAGTTCTAATTAATTACAACTATGAAACAGATATTTCCTTCTTTTCTTATGTTTCAGATATTGAATTACTTTATTATTGCCAAGCACAATCTGCTTTGCTAAATTATTCAGTATAAGCTTGCTTCTTCCATTAGACTTTGGAATTCCTGAGATAAGAAATTACGCTTTATTCTGAAAGTGTGCTTAAATCAATGGAAAGTTGGTTTGTCCAAACTGGATATAGAGGAATAGAGTTATTCTGTACACAGCCACTTTTAGTTGCAAGAGCAGCTAGAAATAGGAGTTATGCTACCTTTTCAAAGACATGTCCTCAGCCAGGTGCAGTGGCTAGTGCCTGTAATCCCAGCAATTTGGGAGGCTGAGGCGGGCGGATCATGAGGTCAGGAGATCGAGACCGTCCTGGCTAACACGGTGAAACCCAACTCTACTAAAAATAAAAATAAAAATAAAAATAAAATAAAATAAAATAAAATAAATTAGCTGGGCATGGTGGTGAGTGCCTGTAGTCCCAGCCACTGGGGAGGCTGAGGGGGAGAATGGCTTGAACTCAGCAGGCGGAGCTTGCAGTGAGCCGAGATCGCACCACTGCACTCCAGCCTGGGTGACAGAGCAAGACTCTTTCTCAAAAATAAATAAATAAATAAATAAACAAAATAAAGGTAGGCTATACTAAGTTAAAGATGCTGGCTGTAACCCTAGAGCCATCACAAAATAAAATAAGGTAAAATACAGATACAGTAAATAAGCCACTAGTGAAGACAAAATAGATACAATGAAATTAGAAAAAAATTAAAATCCTTTAAAAAGCCCCATTTGCCTCGATTTTCCTAATTACACAAAGGAGGCAAAGTGTGAAAAAGGATAGATCACGTTCCTCTAAGGACCCATGTCAGGTATCTGTGGAATGCAGGCGGTGCAGGAGGGTGGGAATGGGTGGGTGCCCAGCGTTGCTAAAGCTATGGAGTGTCTTCCCGTTTTTAAAGAAATCCAGAAGTGCAGATCTATTCATTCAACCATTCATTGATGTAAAATCTGGTTTCTAAGGTGTTCAGTTTGATGACTAATATATGTATACTTTGCCATCAAAATCAAACTCATTCACATTCCCATCACCTCGCAGAGCTGCCCTCTTTCATGTGTGTGGTGAGAACAATAAGATCTACCTCCTCAGCAAATGTCAAGTATACATCGCAGTGTTGTTAGCTATATTCACAATGTTGAACAGTGGATCTCCAGAACTTATTCATCTTGCATAACTGAAATTTTATACCCTTTGACCAACATCTGCCCATCTCTCCTTCCCCCAGCCCCTGGCAACCACTCTATACCCAGCAATCCCATTTCTTTGGGGATATAGCCAAAGGAAATAAAATCAATATCTGGAAAACATACCTGCACTGTTATGTCCATTTGGGCATTTTTAACAATAGCCAAGTAATAGAAACAACCTAAATGTCTGTCAATGGATAAATGGATAAAGAAATGAAAAAAAATACACACACACACACACACACACACACACAGTGGGATATTATTTAGCATTAATGAATAAAAAAATCCTGCCATTTTTGACAGCATGGATGGACTTGGAGAACATGCTTGGTGAAATAAGCCAAGCACAGAAAGACGAATAACACATTGTCTCACTTATAGGATGACACTGCATTCACGTTTCAGCCACCTCTGCCACACCCACCCATGCAAACACACCCACCCATCTCAGTTCCTGCCCCTGACTGGGGGACAGGGTGGGCGCTCTCTGGCACATGTTCCACTCATGCTTCTCCACCTCCAGCTATTTTAGGCTCTGACACTGAAAATGAAATTCTTACCAAGATGATATGTGTTGTGTTGACATAAAACTGATAGAAAGTGTACCAAAAAACATGGAAGTTTTAAACATAATCCACCAAAAGAACATACTCACAGTCGACGTTTCTTTCATTATTAAGAATGAATGTCCATAACCCTCACTAAGACAAAAGTCATCCCATTTGTCTACATTTTTTTTCTTTGCAAACACACACTGAATGACTTTGTGTGACAAGCTGTGAAGTTTTACCAATTCTTCAAACTCTTTGATTTGCATTATGCTGTTTAATCCTGAGAGGCGAGCAGCTGTCGCTGGTAATTCTAAGCCTAGAATTCCACCACCTAATAGGTGAAAATTATAGTAGGCTGATCATAAAACCATGTTGTTAACTTTTTAAAATTTAATGACTACCAAGGAATTTCACCTTAGTGATACATCTTTTGAGAGATTAGAAAATGAAGAAATGCACGTGTTCAATGATCCATTTTAGAATTTAAAAAGTCTTTCAAATGAGCAACTTATTCATATATTGTGAAGAACCCCTGGAAACAGTTATTTAATAATGTGGCTAAACGCGTATTCAGAGTAATGCTTCCTGTATATTTGCACATTTATACACTTATGTCCCGCTCCTGGAATAGACTTACCAGTTTCCTTTTCAGAAAATTTCAGAATTTCTGGAATGTGCCGAAGTACTAGTGGGTAACTTAGATTTGGAATACACTGTATTAGGTGTAACTGGAAAACTGAGAGGCTTCCTACACTGGAAGGTCAAAGATCTTTCCTGGAGGAGAGTTAAGAATTTGCCTTTTCTTACCATGACTCTGTTAAAAGAGAATATAAACAATGCAGTTTCACAAAAGGAAGGGGACAGTGGTGTAAATAAACCTCCCCATCATGTTCTGGTGGCTTTCCTGTAAGTCTTGAACGTTTTCCACTGGGTGTTACAGTCGAGAGGCCCCCACCTCCTGAGGAAGCAAGACCCCGAAACCCCGAGACGATGGGCTGTGCTGCTTTGGCCCCATCTTGCTTGTGTTGTTTGAAGGGGCCCTGCTGCCACCCAGCTGTCATTAACGCCACCCTCACCTCCCAGGAACTGCATCACTCGGACGGACAAGACACCTATGTAATGACCATAGTAAGACCCCATGTGCGTGGCTAATGAGGCAGTGCCCAACGTGGCGTGGAAGCCCTGCTAGGGAAATCCCGCCCTGCCACCCCAGATGCGCCACCCCAGACCTGCTCTCGGACCTGCGGCCCCTGGCCCCTGGCCCTTTCCCGTTGTCACCGAGGCTTCTTGCTAAGAAATGGAACTTCAGAAAACCCCCAAATATATACTGCATTAGGTAAGGGTTTCATTCTAATGGAGTCCCATGTGACCCTGGCTTTCCGTCCGGCAGCAATGCACTCCTGTCTATGAATGAGATGAAAAGAGTGCCCACAACAAGCCAATTTCTTTCAGGAGCGACTAAGACATGCGCATGTCCGGGGGTGCCTCAGAGCACCCGGGAGGGACCCAGGCCTGGGCAGGGAGAGGGGGCCGGCCCTAGGGGAGCAAAGCTCTTGAAACTGGCCTCTGTTGCCGGGCTCCTGACCCTGCCCTCCCATCCCTGCACTACAAGAGGACAGCGGCGACTACAGGAGGCGCCGAAGACGCTGCTGAAGGCCCTAAAGAAACTTCAGCAGAACCGGAACTCCCCTTGCAGGTCCAGCCGCGGGCCCTGCGCCCTCCCGCTCAGCCGAGCGGGGCCGAGGGCGCGTTTGCTGAGTGTCTGGTGGCCTCTACCCAAGCGCCTCTTCAGAGGGCTGTTCCTGCGGCCCAGAGACTGCTTGAGGCGCTCGGGGAAGGAAAAGCAGGCGCTGGTGCGCCGGGGGCTCTGCGGGGGACGGCGCGGAGCTGACTGAAGGGCCGCTGCGGTAGCGCAGGGCGCAGGAGCTGCTCCGCCCCGGAGCGCCGGGAAGGTTGGCGCTGGCAGCCTCCAGCCCCTGCCAGCCGGGCGAGAGCAGGCGGAGAAGGAGGATGCACCGTCACCTATGGCTCGCCTCCACCGGCCGGCACGCAAGGTGAGCTCTGCGTGCGCCCGGCGGGACAGTGAGGTAAAAGGGCGGGAGCGCGGGAGAGGACTCGTGGCCCCGGCTCAGCCCGCACCCCTCTCCTCTGGGATCCCGAATCGCGGGCTGCGTGGTGGGCCAGGAGAGGTGCAGAGCAGGCGGGGCGCCGCGGCCAGTCCGGAGCGCAAACTTTCCCTGGCGACTGCAGCGCTGAATCTGGGCGCAGGAGAGCGCGGGGTCCGGGCTGCTCAGCCCTGCCCGGCGGGGTACCTGGGCGCAGCGCACATGGGTCAGCCGGTAGGAATTGCGGGATGGGGGACACCCAGCGCCACCGTCGGGAGCCGTAGGAGCGAGATGGACCACCTGGAAGGCCCGGGTCAGCCCTTGGGCTCTGAGGCACGCGGCGTCCCGGCGCTGGTGGCAGGGTGGACTCGGATCCCGCGAGGGTGTCGCGCTAGTCGCGGGGGCTGCTTGAGGCCGGGGGACTTCGAGCCGCCGCTGCACCACTCGCTCCCAGCCCAGGAGGAAGGCGCCGGCTGGCGTTGCGCTCTGCTCGGACTCAGGGCAGGAGCGGGGGAGGTCTGCGAAAGCCGGGAGCGAGCCGGGGAGGGCCCGCGAACTGGAGAGGCTCAGCGCGCTGCTGCGGACGCGGCGGATGGCCGACCACGGGTGCCAGGGGAGGCCCAGGCTGCGGCGCCGCAGGGCAGCCCCCGCGCCCACCTGCCCCTGCGCGCCGGCCCTGGCGAGCCTCTGTGGAGGTCAGGGGACCGTAGCCTCTCCTGGGGTTCCTGCCTAGCGACTGAGGGGCGGCAGGAGGCGCAGCTCCGGTTTTCCGCATGCAGCGCCGCGTGCTCGCCGCCTGGTTTTGTCCGGGTCAGGCAGACCAGCCCCAGGACGCGCCCAGCCGACCCACGCATGGCAACCTGCCCTTCTTGGCAGGAGTCGCAGAGGGCTTTGGCTTCTGAGGTGGAAGTACCTGTTATGTCTCCTAATTCCGGAGTTTGCGGGGGTTTGGGCTGGCGGGGGGCTCATTGGGAAAATGCTTTTCAAAGCATTCTGTTTGGCTGCCGTGAGCACCTATTTGCCTTATGTGCATATTGAGAAATGTGTGCTTCTACTAAGGTTAGTCGCTGAGCCCAGGGACAGTGTAGGCCTGGATTTCAAATGCATTAATTAGGGTCCAGCACCCAGCCTAGAGACTTCCACAAATGCAGTAGTTATTTAGTCACGGGGACTGAATGCGGAGAAAGTAGCCACACCGTTATAGGCAATTGTTATACCCTTGTGATCCTGCAGAAAACCTGTTTCTTAAATGTGCTTCCCCCCTCTTTCTTTCTATGTACTTTCAGTGCCTTGCAGAACTAGGAGTAGCGTGCTGACTTTGAACACGTGGTAGATATTTCAGAAAGGTAAAATTGTTAGGCTTGTGGATTTGACAGATACAAAATACAGTTGCTCAGACAACTAAAGCATTTATTTTAATAATTGGACTAATGTTTCATTTGATAACATACTAAAAAATAAAACAGAGGTTGGGCGCAGTGCTCAGGCCTGTAATCCCAGCACTTTGGGAGGCCAAGGCGGCGGATTACGAGATCAAGAGATCGAGACCATCCTGGCCAACATGTTGAAACCCCATCTCTACTAAAAATGCCAAAATTAGCTGGACGTGCTGGTGTGCGCCTGTAGTCCCAGCTACTCGGGAGGCTGAGGCAGAATTGCTTGAACCCGGGAGGCGGAGGCTGCAGTGAGCTGAGATTGCACCATTGCACTCCAGCCTGGCAACAGAACGAGACTCCATCTCAAAAATAAAATAAAATAAAATAAAATAAAGCAGAGTATTTGAGACATAGAAAACAATAAATTACGATGACTCTGCACTCTGAGTAGAAGTAAAAATAAGCCAACTTGTTAATCTTTTTATGTTTCAACTTACTGCCCGGTGAGCGTGGTGGAAAATTCCTTGCGTGCAGCTGTGCCAGGGAAGGACAGCCAGCTTCCTTTCTCTAGGTTACAGCAGGGAAGGACAGCCGGCTCCTTTCTCCAGGTCACAGGATCTGCTCTGCTTGGATTTGATACGGTGGTTAGTGCAGCCCATAGTCCAGTTGCTGCAGCAAAAGTTGCTTGAGTCTTTGATAGGAGAGGACACTTGAAAGCAGGAAATGAGAAACACATTTTGATCTTTATGTAGGAACTCATTGTTCCTGACTCTCTCCTGGGATAAAGGACAGGGAAGAGTGGACTTTTTTGCACTTCTAGTTCCTTCTCCCTGTAGCTGTAGTCGTAGCAAGTAAAGGGGTTGTACTGATGCTTTTTAAGGCATATTATCAACATACAGCCATGACTTGTCCAGAGAATCTCACCTGACAAAAACTCAGAGAAGAAAGAGAAAGAAGATGAAATGGCTGGTTTTCAGGTAAATGTGTCCCAGTTCAAGGGCTGTGACATGGATAGACTGCATGGTGGTGAAGTCAGGGCTTTTAGGGTATCCATCATCAGAATAACATACATGTCTCTGAATTTTGATATTAGCCATCCTAACAAGTGTGAAATGATATGTCATCATTGTTTCTATTTGTATTTGCCTCATGATTGAAGATGTTGAGCAGCTTTTCAAATACTCTTAGTTTACGTCTTCACTAAAAAAATATTTCTTTACCTGTCTTTTAATCATGTTATCATTACTGTCATTATTATTGTTGTTTTGGTTTTTTATTTGTATGAGTTCCTTACATATTTTGGATATTAACCACTTAACAGTGGTTTGCAGATATTTTCTCCCAACCTGTAAGTTTTCTTATTGTTTTCTGTTTATAAGTTTTTTAGTTTGATGTAGTCCAACTTTTTTATATTTGCCTTTGTGGCGCACTTTTTGTGTCAGATCCAAAAAAATACTGTCAAGACCAATATAAAGGAGGTTGACCACATTTTGTTTTCTTTTAGGATTTTTAAGAATTCATGTGTTTTATTTGTCCTTATTTTGAGTTAATTTTGGGATATGATGTAAGAAAAATCATCTAATTTTATTCTTTTGCTTGTGGATACCCAATTTTCTTAGCTCCAAATAATAAAGGGATTTCACTTACTGCATTGTGCATTTTCAATATCCTTGTTCAAGATTAATTGATTTTATAGGCATAGGTTTTTTTTTTTCTAGGCTCTCTACTTTGTTCTGTAGGTTTTCGTGTTCATTTTTATGCACATGCTGTCTTGTTTTTATTACTATAGTATTGAATATAATTTAAAATCAGAAACTATAGGGGCGGGTGCGGTGGCTCACACACCTGTAATCCCAGTACTTTGGGAGGCCGAGGTGGGTGGATCATGAGGTCAGGAGTTCGAGACCAGCCTGACCAACATGGTGAAATCTCGTCTCTACTAAAAATATAAAAATTAGCCGGGCATGGTGGCGAGCACCTGTAATCCCAGCTACTCAGGAGACTGATGTAGGAAAATCACTTGAACCTGGGAGGCAGAGGTTGCAGTGAGCTGAGATCGTACCATTGCACTCCAACCTGGGTGACAGAGTGAGACTCCATCTCAAAAAAAAAAAAAAAAAAGATCAGAAACTATAATATCCTTAGCTTTCTTCTTCCTCAAGATTGCTTTAGCTATTCAAAGTCTGTTGTAATTTCACATAAATTTTAAGCTTGTATTTTCTATTACTGTGAAACAAGTTATTGGAATTTTTATAGGGAGTTTATTAAATCTATAGATCATTTTGGATAATGTAGAATTTTAACAATATTTACTCCTCCAATCTATGATAGCTTTACATTTTTTGTCTTCTCCAGTTTCCTTTATCAATATTTTATTTTTCAGCATAAAGATCTTTCACCTTAGTTGTTAAATTTGTTCCTAAGAAATTTATTGTTTTTTATTTTATTTTAAATGAAATCATTTTCTTCCTTTTAATTGGATAGTTTGTTGTTAGGGTATAAAAACACAATTGAGATTTGTATGCTGTTTTTATATTCTGAAAATTCATTGAGTGCATTTATTAGTTTAAATAGGTTTTTGGTGTACTATTTATGGTTTTTGTATATAAGATCATGTCATCTACAAAAAGTGACATTTTTTCAATTTAGATGGCTTTAAAATATTTTTCCCCAAATTCTTCTACTTAGGACTACTAGTATGTTAAAATAGAAGCATTAAAATTGGGCACAAGGTGGCTTCATTGTGACTCCTCTTATTTCGAGCAGACTCAACTGCTTTCAGAACTTTGATCTGTAGGGCAGATGCCAGGGCCAGGGTTCTGAAGCTGGGTTTGCATATGGCGGCCCTGATAGTAGGTGTGTGGATGAAGTGTGACTTCTGCTGAGTACCTGAGAGGGTTTTCTCTCCCTTTGTGGGTCTCTAGGTGGGCAGAACTGTCTATAAACTATGGTGAAGAGGGCTGAAACTGAGTCACAGACCTGCTTCAGAGGCCACAGTAAAGGTGAAAGGTTAAATTCTGTAGGTCTGCCTCCATTATCATGAATGTCTCTCCCCAGTTCTCTGTATGGGAAGGACTAATTCCAGACCATAACTGGGAGGCATTGGAGATGGTTACAGAGTCACTTCAGGATTCTCAGTGTGACTGAGTAGGATGGGTCAATTCCTAGTCTGTAGACAAGATCAGGGGTTCTCAGATTTGCCCCCTGAATGAGGGCCTGCCTTCCCAAAACAGCCCTCCTCAGTCTTTGTTTTTCACAGGGTATCATAATGCCCTCTCTAATCCCAAAGCTCCCATAAAGGCACTTTTGTCCATGGATGGCTGCAAAAGTATTGTAGCTGTGGGAAGATAAACAAGAGTGATCCCCTTATTCCAACATCCTTGCTGATGTCACTCTCCTTATATGGTTTCACTTTGTATTTTGCTGTATTACAAATTTGTCTGTTATTTTAGATTCATTCAGAACAATATGCTATAATTTCCACACCATGTAAGAAGTAAATCAGACAGGCACTCCCTATTTATTAAAATGTTCATTTGTACGTTACAGTTAACTGAAATCATATAGGAATCATTAACATTTTTGTTTTCTCAACCTATATCTAAATGATAAATTACAAAAAATTATTTCAAAATATTTGCATTGTATATAACTCATATTTTACAACATACATGGTTTTACTTTATTTCAAAGTCTAATGCTTTTCTTTGCTTCTAAAGAGTGAATTGCAGCCTTTTTATTTTCTGTGAAAATAGCATCAATATATTAATAGTAACACATTATCTTTACTGTCTTTACATAATCATTAAAAAAATTTTACTAGAGCATTTTCTTAATGTCTGTAGTGCATTTTCTGTAAAATTTTACTGCCATACAGTAGACATCAATGATTCCAAGTATGTGCGCTCCATAGGTGCACAATCACAGGTGAACTCGGTAGTTACCTAGAAAAAGGTGTTATAATGATATATCAATGTTGCATACAGAATTTTATAGGTAAATGTTTATCTTGTCTTGCAATTCCTAATTACTGTGTTTTTAGTAAGGATACATTTATAGGCAGTTTATTGTGTTTCTGTTTTACCTATGTATTATAATTTTGAATGACAATTTGCAACTCTGTATATATACTTTAAATCAAGGTGGGGTTTAATTCAAAGATGAATTAACCAGCTGTCTATCACTGTTAAATTATACATATGTATGTGCATGGTTGTCTCTATAAATATAACACCAACTTTGTTTATGGTTCATCTTGTGTATTTCTCCTCTTGGCTGATTTTTTTTTTTTTTTTTTTTCGACGGAGTCTGGCTCTGTTGTCAGGCTGGAGTGCAGTGGTATGATCTCGGCTCACTGCAACCTCTGCCTCCCAGGTTCAAGCGATTCTCCTGCCATAGCCTCCCAAGTAGCTGGGATTTCAGGCGTGCACCACCATGCCCAGCTAATTTTTAAATTTTTAGTAGACAGGGTTTCACCATGTTGGCCAGGCCTGGGTCTTGAACTCCTGACCTCAGGTGATTGGCCTGCCTCAGCCTCCCAAAGTGCTGGGATTACAGGCGTGAGCCACCGCGCCCAGCCCGTCAAATATAGTATTATTTTTTGTTTCTAGATATCCCATATAAGTGTATTCAGACAACCTGTCTTGTTGTGACTGCCTTTATTTAGCATGTTAAGATTTTGATTTTATATGTTACATATGCTGATTTTGCAAAGCTGAGCAATATTCTATTTTTATATTCCAAATTTTATTTATTCATTTAAGAAAGTTTAAGCTGCTTTAGCCTATCAGCTTTTGTCAATAATGCTGCATGGGTGTGCAAACAACTCATTTGACCACACATGTGTAGCTGTATTTCTAAGTTTTCTATTGTTTTATTGTTCTTGTTGTGTGCATTTATGCCAGCACCAAATTCCTTTAGCTACTGTAGCTTCACAATGTATTCCAAAATCAGGAGGTGTGACACCCCCGATATTGTTCTTGATATTTCAAGATTGTTGAGTCTTCTTGGTCTCTTTGTAGTCTGTATAATTCTGGGGTTGCTTTTTTATTTCTGCAAAAATAAACTGAGAATTTGGAAAGGACTGTATTGAATCTGTAGACCACTTTATGTAGTCTGGACATCTTCATAATATTAAGTATTCCCACCCTTGAAGAAAAGCATGTTCGAGGGTGTATTGTTTAACTCCCGTATATTTGTGAATGTTTCATTTTCTATTTTATTCAATTTTGGTTATAAAGAATAAGCAGTAATATTTCAATTTAAAAAAAGGTGTTAAGACTTGTTTCATGGCCTAACGTCTTCTATCAAGAATATTTTCTGAAATATTGAAAACATTGTGTATTTTGTTGGATGAGGTGTTCTCTACGCATGTTGAATTTGATTTTTATAGTGTATTCAAGTCTTCTGTTCACTGTGTATTTCTTGCTTCAATGTCATCAATGTTTGCTTTATAAACTGGAAACCCTGATGTATGATATAGATGTATAACTGGAAACCCTGATGTGTGATGTAGATGTAGATACAGGTATAAGCACACACACAGGAATCCACACACAAACAACATATACAATTTTTATAGGTTTCCAATGAATGAACCTTTGTATTATTTAATGTCTTTTTTATCCTGTAGTTTTGAATTAAATTTTATAAAATATGATAATGATTGACTTAAAGTCTTTTGTCACAGTGACTACTTCTGCTCTCATTTGGCTAACATTTGCATGGAATATCTTTTTCCATCCTGCTTTTAGTCTATCTTTGTGATTGGATCCAGTGATTCTCTTGTACACAGAATATAGTTGATGCTGTTAATACAATTTTTAGAATCTCTTCATGAAATATGTCTTTTGATTGGGAAAGTTAGTCCATTAATATTTTTAAAGTATTCTGAAATGGAACTTACTATTATTATATTAATCATTGTTTTATTATTGTAGCCATTTTGTTCCTTTTTCATCTTTCTTGCTGTCTCACTGATTTCTCTGGTGATATGGTCTGATTTCTTTCTCAATTTCTATGTTGTATTTCTCTAATATTTGTGGTTATCATGAAGATTACAAAAATCTTCTTAAAATTACAATATATTTTGAATTGGTAAGATATTCAGATGCTTAGTTTTTTTCAGTATGTCTGCTCTCAACTTTGTAAGTCACAAATTATATTGTCATATTGTGTTTATAACTACTTTCATGTTTTTGTCTATCAAATTTTGAAAATAGAATTGTTTTCTGTATTATAATTTTAATACAATTTCCTGTTATGTGCATGTCTTTATTAGAGAGTTATATGTTTTTTATATAATGTAGGTTTTTTCTAGAATTTTATTTTCAGTGGAAGAGACACCCCTAAGCATTTTCAGTAAGGCAGATATACTAGTGATGTACTTTTACTGCATTTTGTTACTTTGGAATTTTTTTTGAAGAATTTTCCTAGTTATAGTATTCTTGCTTTGAAAGTTTTTGTTTCAGCACTTTGACTATATCACTTAACTTTTTTTCTGGCCTGCAAGGACTGTGTTGATAAATCCACTGCAAATCTCAATGAAGCATGCTATAGATGACACAACAGGTTTATCTTACTGCTTGCTTCCAAGATTCCTTTTGCCTACGACTTTTAAAATTTTGCTTATAATCTGTCTTGTTATGAGTAACTTTGTGTTTATCTTAGCCAAAGTAATTTAAGCTTCTTGATATTTTACAAGTATTTTGTTTGAGAATTTCTGTCTTTATGACTTACTGTAGTCTTCAGCTCCATAATTTTTGAAGGTTTTTATAATTTTTTGTGATATTCTCATTTTGCTGCTTTCATTCAGTTGTCTATGTTCCCATTTCATACACTGAGCATCATTTAGATGGTTATTTTGAATATTTTCAAGTAATTTGTATATCTCAATTTTTTAGGGTTCATATCTGGAAATTTATTGTGTTTTTTTGGCCATGTTACTCTGGTACTCTGTTGTCATCTTTCATTGTGATTTGAGCATTAACAGAAAGCTGTCACAGTCTTTATAAAGTGGTTTGGAGTCTGACACCAATTGACCAGGCTAGAGATTCTGGAGGTTTCTAAAGCCTGTTCTCAGGCTGTGTCTACTCTGGGATTGTGTGTTTATTTTCTTTCTTCAGAAAGAAGTCAGAAGTTTACTTCTATAAGCATCATGCTGCATTGGAGAGGAAGAAGGGCTGTGGTGGGTAAATGCAACAAATTTTCCTTCCTCTACTATTTGGCTTTTGGCATTCTGCTTGCCTGGGGTGCTGCAAACTCTTGATTTTTAAACTTATCACAATGGAATTTTGTTCAGGATATTTTTGTTAAGTGTATATGTATATGAAGAAATTAGGGCCTATGATTTTTATTGTGTCATTTTGCTAATGTGCTTGACATAACTTTATACATTAGGTTTCTAACACGTACTCACCTGAATCTAATAAGTGAGGTAATTTATTTTCCCTTTTCCCAGATGTGTATTCTCATTTTATGGAAGACATGTTGCCAGAGTAAAGCACAATATATTCATCTTGAAATGTAATACTGAGAAGATATGGAAGTTATGGAAGTTGTGGCCTTCAGAATTGACACTTACGGAGAGACTAGAACAGCGTGGGTGAGTTGTGAGGGGCAGGAAGCATGTCTTAATGGACTTAACCAATTTTCGTCAACTATTCACAGTAAAATCTTTCAATGTACAAAATTTAATAATCTGATAAACAATAAACAAAATATTTGAATAGGCATTTTTCATAAGACGTACAAAGGGCAGACAGGCATACGAAAAGGTGCTCAACATTTTTGATCATCAGACAAATGCAAATCAAAACTACAATGAGATATTACGTGACTCAGTTAAATGGCTTATATCCAAAAGGTAGGCAGTAACAAATGCTGGAGAGAAGTGGAGAAAGGGAGCCCTTGTATGCTGTTGACAGGAATGTAACATTTTGAAAATTCTTCAAAACAACTAAAAATAAAGCTACCATATAATTCAGGAATGCCACTCCTGAGGATTCACTTACTAGAAAGGAAATCCATACATTGAAGAGATATCTACCCTCCCATGTTTGTTACAGCAGTGTGCTCCAGCCAATATTTGGAAGTAACCTGATGTCCATCAAGAAATGACTGGATAAAGAAAACATGGCACATATACACAATGGAATACTATTTAGCCATAAAAAATAAGATCCTATTATTTGCAACAACATTGATGGAACCATAGATTAAGTGAAATAAGCCAGGCACAGAAAAACAAACTTTCCATGTTCTCACTTATTTGTCGGAGCTAAAAATCAAAACAATATAACTCATGTAGGTAGAGGTAGTTGCCAGAGGCTGGGAAGGGCAGTGGGGAATGTAGGGGACGGTAGGGATGGTTAATGAGTACAAAAAAAAAGAAAGAATTAATAAGACCTAGTGTTTGATAGTACATCTGGGTGACTATAGTCAATAATAATTTTAATTGTACATTTTATAATAACGAAAAAAGTAAAATTAGATTGGTTGTAACACAAAGAATAAATGCCTGAGGGGATGATGGATACCCCATTTTCCATGATGTGATTATTTCTTTCTATGCCTGTATTAAAGTATCTCATATATCACATCAATATATCTCCAACTAAGTACCCACAAAAATAAAAAATTTAAACCAATTCAAAATGCCAGAATTTCTATACATGAACTATAAACTACCTGAAAAAGTCAAGTAAACAATTTTATTTATAATAACTACAAAAAGTTTACTCATAAATGTAACCAAAATGGTGAAAGATTTCTATATTAAAATTAAAAAACACTGAGTAGAAAAACTTTCTAAATCACAAATAAATGGAAAGATATTTCTGGTTCATTGATTGGCAGAATTAATACTGTTAAAATGTCTACACTGAGCAAAACAATCTACAGATTCAAAGCAGTCTCTTATCTGTATACAAATGAAATTATTTAGAATATTTCAAAAATTCTAAAGTTCATATGGCATCACAAAAACACTAAACAGCAACAGAAATTAAGCACAAATAATACAGCTGGAAGCATTACACTACCTTTGAAATACACTACAAAGCTTTAGGAATTGATACAGTATGATAACTGGTTTAAAAAGAGAAACATAGGTGAATAAAGCAGAATGCAGAGCCCAGAAACAAATTCATAAAATTTCAGGATCTTACACAAAGGTGACAAGAACACACAGTGGGGAAAGGACAGTTACTTCAAAAGTGGTGTTATGAAAACTGAGTATCTCCAGGCAGAACAATGAAATGAGACCCTCCACCAACATAAATCAAAGACTCAAAACTCTGGAACTGCTACAAAAAACAGAGTGAAAGCTCCATGACATTGGTGGGGACAATAATTTTTTCTTATTTATTTCACCTCAAAATCCCAGCAAACAAAAGTGGAAGTAGACAAATGAGATTACTTGAAAACTGAAAAGCTTCTACACAGCACTAGGTACAACCAACAGAAGAAAAATAACGTATAAATAAGAGAAAATATTTATGAGTTATATATCTGACAAAGGGTTACTATCCAAAATAGACAGGAAACTCAAACAACTATAGAACAATAAACAAGTAACTATTAAAATGGGTGAAAGATGTAAATAAACATTTCTTAAAGGAAGACATACAAATGGTAAAAAATATATGAAAAAAATGCGAGGTAAATTATCATAAGGCTAATCTAAGGTTAAGGCTAATCTAAGGTTAGGACTAATCTAAACCTCTATTAGATAACAACTCACTACTGTTAGAATGACTATTAATAAAAAGCCAAAAAAATAATTATTGGCAAAGATGTGGAGCAAAGGGAATGCTTGCGCACTGAATGTAAATCAGCGTAGCCATTATACAAAACAGTATGGAGATTTCTCAAACATTAAAAGCTGAACTATCATATGATACAGCAATATCATTATTGGGCACATATCAAAAAAATCAAGTATGTGAAAGAGACATCTGTGCTGTTATGTTTATTGCAGCACTATTCACAATAGCCAAGATATAAAATCAAACTCAGGGTTTATTATCAAATAAAATGATAAAGAACATGTGGCATACATCCATTCTGTACGAATGGATTATTATTCAGCCTTAAAATAGAAAATACTGTCATTTTCAATTACATGGATGAACATGAAGGAGATTATGTTAATTGAAATAATCCAGACACAGAAAGACAAATACCTCATGATTTTGCTCATATGTGGAATTTTAAAAAATTGATCGCATTGAAGTAGAGACTAAAATAGTGGAACGAGAGGCTAAGATATTTTGGAAGGGGATTGGGTAGATGTCTTTCAAAGAATATATAATTAGTTAGATTAAAGGAATAAGTTAAAAAAATCTGTTGTAAAGCCTGGTGACTATAGTTAATGATGACATACTGTTATGTTTTAAAAATACTGATATAGTCAATGTTAAGTGTTCTCCATCACAAAAATGATAACTATATGAGGTAAAGCACTTGTTAATTAGCCAGAATTTAATATTACACAATGTATGCATGCTTTAAACCACATTTTACATGACAATACATATAATTTTATCTGTCAATTTAAAAAATGTAGAAACATGAAAAGGTAGTGTTTCAAATAATCAGTCTGTGTCTTATTCATAAGCTTAGCAGAGTAGTATCAAAATATATAGTTTTTGTGATGTTTTTGTCATTTCATTTGTCAGTCATAAGCATAGAAACTCAGATATTTACCAGCATGTGCAAGAACCAGCACAGTGCCTGGGAGAATCCTATGTACTTTAGAGCTTTTACTTTGAGCTCCAGGTACCTGGAATTCCTGGTATAGAAGACACTAAAAAGGCAGGTGCTGCTAATGGTTTCGCCTCTGGCCCTTCTGTAAACACTGAAAACAAGTTTGCTTCCAAAATCACTGAGAAAATGTTTTAATCCAAAAGCCTGCCATTGTCTTTGAGATTTCTCTAAAGAGAATGACCTAGAATTTGGCTGTAATTAGGTGTCTGAGAATAAAAACTGTGGACTGTAACTGTGCCCATTCAAATAAAAGAAGTTATAATAATATGAGTGAGAAATTTCCCAAGATGGCAATACGAATCCGCAAAAAAGATTATTCCAAATTTTAAACCCACAAAGGTTATTTTATTTTTGTCCAAAACTTATTATACCCACTCAACAACAGAAGATTCTGCATGGAAACATAAGCGGTGGGATAAATATTTCATAGAAATTTGAATTTAAAATATTTTACTTACCACTAACTCTCCTTAATACAATTTTATTTCTAAGACATGTCTCTAATGGGATATCCAAATTTTGATTTGTTTTCTTATGTAGCACTAATAATACATGGCCCACTGGTATTAATACTTCACTTAGTCTAATTTGATATTTACCATTCTTTGTGTTATAATATAATAATGTTTAACAATGCTATCTGTCCAACGATCTAATCCATGGATACTGCGTTATCTTATCTAAATTAAGTGACAAGAATGTTGCATTTGTAATCTATAAATGACCTCAAATTCTCCAGCTACAAAGAATTTTTAGGCACATTAAAAATAATTCTAACTTGTCCTCAGAACCTGCAGAGTACTGTGTGAAATAACATGGGGTGGGGAGAACAGTGAGCAAGATGTTGCCATAAGACAGGCAAAGAAAGAGAAGGGCTGTAATGCATATGTATTTGGGGGTGAAGATAAAAAGACAGTGAAAGAAAAACTGAAGATAATTAGAAAATAAAAGAAGCAGAATTTATCTGTCTAAATTTAGAGTTAGTTGTGCAGCCTGACTACAGATTTCCTCTCTCACCATGCAAAACCAACGCCACTTCTTCACTCTGGGTGTTTTTAATCTCTTATATGAAGATACAAACTCACTCGAGCAGAAATATTTCCTGATAATTGTAAAGCATTTGTTACACACCTAGCACCGTCTTGTGTTTGTTTACTTCATACAAATGGCAAGAAAATCCCATGGCTTATGAAGCCTCCTGAGTTTTTACCTTAAAAGCATGGCTCAATAAATTCAATAATTATATCAAATATGTCTACTATAAAACATGAAAGAAACAGTAATAAAAACATTTTGCTTAAATAGAATTCTCTAATTGAAAAGATTAAATATACTAATTAAATAATAAAATTTAACAATATACTCACTGCAAAATTACTCAGATCTTCAAATTATTTAGTTAGCACCATTACATTTTACCGAAAGAGCTATAATCATTAGGCAGGTCACATAAAGAATACTTCATGAACTTTGAAAGAAGAAAATTGTATATTAGGTCTAGCATGAATAGAAGGCAAGCTAGAACAAAGGGTTTGGATGGGGAGATTCTGAACCACAAGATTTTAGAGATGAATGGAAAGCAGAGGAAATAAATTTGCTTTCAGAATCTGTGAGGTTTTAGTTTGCTAGTATATCATAAACACTCATGAAATCATCTGCTTTGTTCTGATATATTTTCCTACTCAGAATAGGTCCACACTCACATAAAAACAATTACTTCTCCAATTCTTTTATATCTGAAGTTTATCTTTAGAGTAATATATTTAGAAATTTTACACCATGTAAATTAAAACTAAAATTTTGTGTTTGTAGAACCAGAGATAACATGTTCAAAAAAATGTAGGCTGAATTTTCTAAATAGTTATTCAGAATTCAGAAATGTAGGGCTTTTGATTATACTCCTATATAATCTTCAGTATAACCATCACAATAACTTCACAGTTACAAAATAAATAAAAATGTAACACGTGGGAACAATATTCTCTAAATTATTTGAAGTATAAGGCCACTGGGAAAAAGAATCACTACAGATGTTATTCCACCATATTACTTAATGGTATAGTCTTACCATGTTTTACCTACAAGCCTGAGTAAGGTAGAATAAGTTAATGTTGACAGCAGGATGACACTTCAATCAATGCACAAGACCCTTAACATATTAAAAATATTTTTTATTTGTTAAAACAAATAAAGTTTACAAATAATCTGAGACATATCAAAATCCACTCTATTTTATTAGTTTTATGTGCATTTGGTGAAACAATTTTCTTCTAAATTTTACAGTGTTTATTAATAAAATGCAGAGGATATGCACTGAACACCTACCTCATGCATCGCTTACAACACTGTTATCACTTAACCACAAACAGCCTCTCCACTTAGATTTTCTTCATGTATCTTACATTTCCAGGTCCTTAATCTTTTATGGAGAAGTATATAAATGATGACCACCTAATACAGAAGGACCGCTCAGAGCTGTAATGCATCAAACATTGACCACATGCTTCCATATAAACATTAGGAATAAAGGCAAAGCACTAAGTTATTCGAAAGTTTAATTATATCAATACTTGCTATTCAAAACATTTAAAATTATTTTAATGCAAATAATTACACTCAATATAATTTTAAATCTTCAAGAAGCAATCTCCTACTACTTTTATCCTACATACAAATAAATTATCCAATTATTTTAACTTTGGATTATTCTCTATAATGAACACTCTGAATAATTTAACTCATGACAGGATTCATACAATTAACCTTTTAAACATTTGTCTTATAGTTTACATCACATTGATTACCCTTTTATCAGATCTCAGTAGCACCAAAAACCTGACAATGGTATAGACACTGCCCACTAGCCTCTAGACACCACGGTCATATGCCCATGGCAACGTTGAGGAGGTTGAGATGATGAAGTCCATCTTGTACATGCCCACCGAGAAACTCACCGGCAGCAGGATGTGCTGATGGCTCTTGCCTCTGCAAAGATCCTTAGGTAGAGGCTGGGGCTGTGAAGGTACCAGGATCTCCTGTAGTTCCTGAATGAGAGTCATCATGTAGACACTTGAGAACAGCATTATCTGTTTAAGAAAAACATCTCTGAATAATGACAGAGTGAAAAACAGTCCTCTGATTATGGAGTTTATTGGGAAAAGTGAACAGTATTTACTGACATGCAAATTGATCTGGGTCACATTGGAAGAAGCCACAGTGTAAAAGATCAGGCTACTACTAACAGGAAAACTGAGAGACCATGAGAACAAATGGAAGGTAAAAATTGTGGATTTCCATTTAAACCTCACCAACCAGGAAATGCTGGGGCTGATGTTGACGACCTGCAGCATGTCCAGGAGGCAGGTGGTACAAATGGAGAGGACCCTGATCACCCTCCTCAGGTAGAAAGATGCCTCATATTTGAAGTCATTCTGAAAATTCAGTGATTCAAAGAGCTGTGGAGACAAGAACACCATGGTGAGAAGGACCACCATGTGGATGAGGGCCACATGACAGACTGGTAGGTAAGTGCGCTCTGGCCTGAGATCCAGAAAAAGCAGAAAAGGAGAAGACGCAGAAAAGAAGGAGAAAAGTGTTGGCTGAGATGCCAATACCAGCTTAGAAATGAAAGGCATTTTTCATGGGAACACAAGTGCAAAGTAATCATCTGAATTACAAAGACAAACATACTTTGTACATCAAAATATGAAGTATAAAAAACATTTTGTACTTCACATCATCTGTATTATATATTCTATGGCCAAAATTATCATAAACATTATTTTTATTCCACTAATTTTTTTCTTAATTAATCCTATCATATAAATCCTTGATATATATAGTGTATGTGTGCATGTATGTATATATAATTTGATATATAATGTTGAGAATGTATTTTGAAGAATGTATATGAAAAACTGGCTCACTTTTTACAAAGCATTTCTTAATGAAGAGTGATGGTTACATAACAATAACTCACATGTTTGTATAGTTGAGCTAAAGTAAATTTTATGTTAAGGGAAAATAATCACCTAAAGAAAAAGTTGAAAAAAAAGTTTAACTGACTCACATCACAGTACTCAGTTTCTCTTATTATTTCTTTCACTTTTAAGAATGCTTATAATTACATTAGGCCCAAATCTGTAATTCAAGTTAATGTTTTTGTTTTAGAGTCAGCTGGTTATCAACCTTGATTTCATCTGCAGCCTGAATTCCCATTTCTCATATACCATAATACATGCCTAGAACCTGGTGGTTAGACATGGGGACCTTTGCATGGCATTATTCCACTTACCACAAGTCCTATTAAACGAATCCCTTAAAATAATTCTGGCTCTGTTCAAGTTTTGTTTTTATCCCAGAGAAATCTCATGAAAGCTTTATTTCATCTCAGGTGGAAATTGCTAAAATCCAGTTTTCAATGCTACAAGTACATGGACTACCTTTTTCTACTTTATGGGATCCATGAATTTGCATTAAGTGATAATTTTCTTGATGCTTCACTTTATACAGAGATACCCTTCCATGGAAAGATGCCTTTCCAAGCCTTGGAAAAACACCAAGGTCACTAATAGTAAAGATAATTCTCCATCTCTTAATCATGATATCTCTGTATGAGAACCCTTCATAAAATTTTATTGAATAATTCTGCAATTACTTTCTTCTTTGCCCTGAATACAGTCATCACTATTGTATCCAACTAATTCAGCCCGCAGCTTAGAATAATAGAGCTCTGGCTCATGCCTATAATTCCACCGCTTTGAGAGGCTGAGGCAGGGACATTGCTTCAGATAAACAGTTTGAAATTAGCTTGAGCAACACAGTGACACCCTGTGTCTATCAAAAATAAGAAAGAAATTAGCTAGGCATGGTGGCACGTACCTGTGGTCCCAGTTACATGGGAAGCTGACATGGAAGGATCACTTGAGCATAGGATCTTGAGGCTATAGTGAGCCAGTGAGTTGTGATGGTACTAATGCACAAACCACAAATATAAATGTGCAAGGCAATGAAGATGATTTGACAGTATTTTTTACCTCATACTCAGAAATTAACATCTGAGTTAGAAAACTGCTAACCAATTTTAAACCACCTGATATGGATGAGTTTACAAAAAGGAAATTGCATAGTTTATATATCAGTTTTTATTTTTTCTCCCAACACATAATCTAGTATAAGTACACATTTATCTCAATGTCCAGAACCAAACAATGGATAGTTGCCACCAAAATATACTGATGCCATCAACATGATATGGTTCTTTTGTCATGTTAAACCTAAAAGAAGCTCCAGGATAGTATCAGATTAAAGCCATAATAATCTCCATATATTAAATACTGCAGTCTAGTTCCAGAAAATAAACATGGACAATTAATATACAAATAACTACTTACTACTTATGTAGAAATCACTTTTACTAAATATACTGTATGTATTAAAAGTTATATCACAGAAAGAGGTAATACAATTAGATAAAACAACATACGTAAGAATTCTATTTTTTTCTCCCCATAAGGTATCCAGATCACACACTTTAATTCATGCCACACCCTCTCTAATGACTACTACATACCGCAAAAGAATGTATCTGCTAATTATCAAACTTTATTTTTCTCTAATGAAGGTTTTCAGGTCATTAATGCTGAGTCTGGAGAAAAGAACAGTGGCTCCCATGAACAAGGGTTGACAAATGTAACACACTTGGTTATATTTGAATTTCAGGTAAATGATGAATTGTTATTTGTATATACTCCAGTAGTTGCTTACACATATTATACACAGATATAAAAACATTGCATAGCTATACTAAAAAGTTATTTGTTGTTTACCCCAAATTTAAATGTAACTTATGTTTTCTCTATTTTATGTCACAAATCTGCCACAACTACCATAGAACTATTGTATAATTTGGGACAACATGTTACAAACATGGGAAAACAGAATAAAAGAAAAAATATCAAAGGTTTTATAAAGGCTGAGTGCTGTGACTTATGCCTGTAATTTAAGCATTTTAGGAGGCAGCAGTGGGAGGACTGAGCCCAAGAGTTTGAGACCTGCCTGGGCAACATAATGAGAACCAATCTTCACAAAAAAAATTCAAAAATTAGCCAGGCATTGTACCACCTGCCTGTAGCTCTGGCTACTTGTGAGGCTGAGGCAGCAAGTTCACTTGAGCCTACACGGTCAAGGCTTCTGAGACCCCTGATCAAACCACTGCACTCATTCCTGGGTGTCAGAGTGTGAACTTGTCTCAAAAAAACATCAAAACATGAGATGCAGCAAACTACTGAGAGAAATTCACAGCAGTAAACACCTACATTAAAAATAAACAATTCTAAATTAATAACCTAATGTTTGGCAAAAATAGTTAAGGGCTAATTAACTACTCATCACACCTTGGAGAAAGAATATCAGTGCGGCAAGCAAAAGTCATGTAGAATATCTAAGAGAAAAGACTGAGGAGTGAGGTGCCTGGGGGATTCGGGCTTTGAAAATTATCCACATATTCCTGAGAATCCAGAAGCCCATAAGCATGTTCAGGGTCAATCAAGGGACAGGCAAATGCTCACAAAGACCTACGAAGCTGTTATCTCTCATGTCTGCTTTACCTCCAAGCACTGCACAAGCAGGAAGAAAAGAAAACAGCAAAGTTGTAATCTTTCTGGCTAAGTAAACCCAACTGCAAGAACTAGTAGATTTATATTTGATGTGAGCAGGCATTTGAGAAAATCTCTGTCAAATAACTAGCTCACATGAAGCTAATAAAGCAGAGATTTTTATTGCTAAACACGACAAAAGGATGATATTTTAAAAATAATTTTGAAAACTCACCAAACAAACAAGTAAAATTTACAATAAGCAACAAAAAAACCCAACGGGATGAGAGAGAATATTATTTCAGGGTTGTTGTGATAGAAAAAGTCTAGTTTTCAGCAACAGCAATGAAATACAAAGCGTGCAAATAAATTAATGAAAAAATAATGGCCCACTAATAAGATAACAGATATTAACAGAAACAGTCCTAGAGGAATCGTAGGCATTGAAAAATCTAGAAAAAGTCTTTAAATTACCTGTCTTAAATGTGCTGCAAAGATAAATAACATCAAAAGGAAAAACATTTCAGAAGAATAGTGTCTCATCAAATAGAAAATATTAATAGAGATAGAGATTATAAACTGAAGCCAAACTCTAAAGTTGAAAATTAAGATAACTAAAATAAAAAATTCACCACAAAGGTTCAACAAAAGATTTAAGTAGACGAAAGACACAACCAGCAAGCTTGAGGTCACTTCAATTCGTATTATCCCAACTAGCAGAAATAAAAAATAATGAATAAAGATGAACAGAGCCTAAGATAACAATGGGATACTATAAAATGTGCCATTACAAGCATTATGAAAACTCCCGAAAGAAGGGAGAAAGATAAAATGGGGCAGAAAGAACATCTGAAGAAATAATGGCTAAAAAGTTCCCAAGCATGATGAAATACGTGAATCTACACATTCCAAAATCTCATTGAATTCATAGTATAAACTCAAAGAACTCTACACCAAGACAAATTACAATAAAACTTTCAAAAGCTAAAGAGACAACTTTGAAGAAAGTTATGGAGAAAAGACTACTATTTGCAATGCATCTACACTGACATTAACAACTCACTAAAAACTAGAGTCCAGAATATAATTTCTCACTAAAAACTACGGAGTCCAGAATATGATAGGACAATATATTTAAAGTGTAGAAAGAAAAAAAAAAAGCCAACAAAGAACTCTATTTTCAGCAAAACTGCTCTTCAAAGATGAAGGACATCCTTGAAGACCTTTGAAGACACTAAGAGCTATATAGATTAAAACAAATTTAACAGCTTGTCACTAGTAGACCTGGTATGCATTAAATGACAAAGGTTATCTTTTGGGTTGAAATGAAATGACAAACTAGGTAATAATGCAAGGCCATATGAAAAAATAAAGAATGCCAGTAAAAATGAGTACATGGCAAAATATAAATGCCACTATTAAAGAATATTTTGTAACTTTTATCTATTGTTCTTTTTTACATGTAATTTAAAATACTAATGCATAAAATAATTATAAATTTTTGTTAATGTCATACAATGCATAAAGATGTAATATGTGACAAAACAACATAACATTGGAGGAGCAGATCTCTATTGAAACAGCTTTTAAAATAAAACTGAATTACGAGCGGTATTAATTTAAAGTACAGTTACACAGTGATGAGATTAATTGTCATCCTTAAGGTAGCCACTAAAAACACAACTAAAGAAAGAAGTGAAAGAGGAAATGAGAAGAGAATCAAAACTGTTTTGGAAAAATACTAGAACATTAAAGATGTCAGTAATATAAGAGTTAATTAACAAAAATATACAAGACTTTAGAAAACAACTAGAAAAATGGCAGAAGTGTGCCCTTCCTTATAAATAGTTTAAATAGAAATTAACATCTACAATTACAATGCAAAGATTGGCAGATGGTTTAAAAATAAACAAAAACATGAACTAACTTTATGTTATCTACAGGAGAATCTCTTTAGTCCTAAGCTCACAAATAGGTTGAAAGTGAAAGGATGGGTAAAAAGATTCCACACAAATAGTAAGCAAAATAAGCTGGGGTGGTTACCCTTAGACAAGATAGGCATTAAGACAACATTGCTATAATTAATTGACACAGGAAATTTTATGTTAAAAAATTATAAATCTATCAAGAAGATAAAATAGTTTTAAATATGCATGTACCTAACAAAGACCCCAATATATGAAGCACAAATGGCAGAATGGTAGAAGTAGAAAATTCTCAATGTGAACTGCTGACTTTAATATACCAACTAGACCTAACGGACGAATTCAGAAACACCTAATCAAAAACCTTGAAATGAGCAAAAATTGATTGCATTTTCAGATTGTTTTCAAGCAAGCAATTTAACCACCTTGCTATTTTATGGCATGCTTATTTTTTTAAAAAAAGTTATGATGAAATATGCATAACATCATACTCAATACAAAGTTTCTGGTATATTTATAATTATGCAACTATAGCCATGGTATAACTTTAAAATATTTCCACTATCAGGACTAGACAATCATTACTGATTTCCCTTTTATGGACATTCCATTTTATCACCTTTATTGTTTGGTTTGGTTTCGTTTTTGAGATGGAGTCTCTGTCATGCAGGCTTGAGTGCAGTGGTGCGATCTCAGCTCACTGCAACCTCTGCCTGCCTCGCGGGTTCAATAGATTCTCCTGACTCAGCTTCCTGAGTACCTGGGATTACAGGCGCCCACCACTGCACCTGGCTAATTTTGTTTTTAGTAGAGACATGGTTTCACCATGTTGGCCAGGCTGCTCTCGAACTCCTAACCTCAGGCAATCCACCTGCCTCAGCCTCCCAAAGTGCTAGAATTAAACGTGTGAGCCACCATGCCTGGTCCATTTTTATTACCTCTTTATTATTGTGGTATGATTACTATTTTGTATAAATGGAATGATACACTGTATTATGTTTTGTGTCTGGTTTATTTCACTTAATGCATGTGAGGTCAGTTATGTCATTTTTTTTTTTTTTACTAATTTTTTGTATATTTTAGAAAATGCATTTAGAAGAGAATAAAAAACTTTTAAAATAACTTCCATATTTCTCAATGTTGTGCATTTTTTTCAAAAAATAAGCAAATATTTTATTTTTTTGGTTTCTTTGAGACAGATCTTATTCTATCACCATGGCTGGAGTGAAGTAACATGATCATGGCTTACTGCAGATTCTACCTCCTAGGCTCAAGTAGTCTTCCCACCTCAGGCTACCAAGTATCTGGGACCACAGCTGCACACCACCATGCCCAACTAATTTTTAAATTTTGTGTATAGATGGGGTCTCATTATGTTGCATGGGCTTGTCTCAAACTCCTGCGCTCATGAGATTCTCCTGCCTAGGCCTCCCAAAGGGCTGGGATTACAGGTGTGAGCCACCACACCCAGCCTATTTTTTTCTAAAGACAGGGTCTCATTCTGTCCTCAGCTCAAGTGCTGTGGCGTAATCATAGCTGAAGGCAGCCTCAATGTACTGAGCTCAAGTGATCCTCCCTCACTGACCCAAAGTGCTGGGATTACAGGCATCAGCCACCATGTCCAGCCTGAAATAATATTTTAATTAAATATTAAGAAAAATAGAAGAAATAAGATCTAGTGTTTTGTAACACAATAGGACAACTATAGTTAACTGTAATTTATTGTATAAAAGATAGAATTGTTGAGTAAGGTGTGAGCACCAGTTTAGGGTTTTGGCACATTCTTTACACTTGAAGAGTTTCTATCTGGTATGAATTATTTGATGTTGAGTATGGGTTGAGTGTCTGTTAAAAGCTTTGCCACATTCTTCACATTTGAAAGGTTTCTTTCCAGTATGAATTCTCTGATATTGAGAAAGGTGTGAGCTCCTGGTAAAAGCTTTGCCACATTCTTTACATTTGAAGAATTTCTCTCCAGTGTAGATTCTCTGATGTTGAGTAAGGTGTGAGCCCTAGATAAAAGCTTTGCTGCATTCTTTACATTTGAAAGACTTCTCTCCAGTGTGGATTCTCTGATGTCGAGTAAGGTGTGAGCCCCTGTTAAAGGCTTTGCCACATTCTTTATGTGTGAAGTGTTTCTCTCCAGTATGTATTCTCTGATGTTGAGTAAGGTGTGAAGCTCTGTTAAAAGCTTTGCCACATTTTTTGACACTTGAAAGGTTTCCCTCCAGTGTGAATTCTCTGATGCTGAGTAATGTATGAGCTTCTATTAAAGGCTTTGCCACATTCTTTACATTTGAAGGCTTTCTCTCCAGTATGGATTCTCTGATGTTAAGTAAGGTATGAGCCTCTGTTAAAAGCTTTGCCACAGTCCTTACACTTGATAGGTTTGTTTCCAGTATGGATTCTCTGATGTTGAGCAAGGTGTGAGCTCTTCTTAAAGGCTTTGTCACATTTTTCACATTTGTAAGGTTTCTCTCCAGTATGAATTTTCTGATGTCCAAGTTGTAAGCCCCTGGTAAAAGCTTTGCCACGTTCTTTACATTTTACTGATTTCTCTCCAGTGTTAATTATCTTATGTCTCTTCAGATGTGACTGACTAAAGACTATTATACATTTTTTATTACATCTTTGTGAGCTCTCTCCAATATAAGTTCTTCGATGTTGAGTAAGTTTTGAGGATGGGTTAGAAGTTTCACCACATTCATTAGGGTTGTAAGGCTTTTCTTGAATATGGATACTTTGAGGATTGATAAAACACTTTCTCACATTCATTACATTTGTAATAGTTTTCTAGAAAATGAGTATTCTGATGTTTACTAATATTTGAGTCATGGCTAAAATTTATCTGATTTTTATTACAAAAGACAGATTCCAAAAATTGATGTTGATATTTACTCACAGGAATACATGGTTCTGTAGGAGTAGCTGGCAGAAACTGAGGCTTCTTCAGAAATATTCTATGTTCTTCATCTCCTTTCACAGTTAAATTTTTGTTATGAGAAGTTGTCAAATATTGGCTACATAAATTATAACATTCTTTTTGTCCTTCACCTATACTTTCCCAGTTTTTCCATAAGCATAAATTTTCAAGGCCACAGCTCTCATATCTTCCCAGTGTTGCTTTTCCTAGTGTTGCTTTTTTGAATGACTCTTCTATGCCTTGCTCTGGTAAAATGCCTTGGTTGTAATAAGAATATATAGCTCAAAGTAGTAAAAATAACTAATTATTCTACATACTGAATTTAGCTGAATATACTTTACAAATCTAATATGAAATTTTACCAAGCTGAGAACATGAGCACAATGCCATAGTAGAAAACCAACAGAGGACAGAGCAAGATGGCTAAATAGAAGGCTCCAGTGATCATTTCCCCTGGAAGGACACCAATATAACAACTATCTATTAAAAAACAAACAAAAACCTTCATAAGAATAAAGGCGAGCACTCACAGTACCTGGTTTTAACCCTGCAGTACACAAAGAGGCACTAAAACAGGGTAGGAAAGACAGTCTTGAATCACTAATGCCACTCCTCACTCATGCCCTGGCAGTAGTCACATGCTATGTAGACAGAATCTGTACACTTGGGAGAGGGAGAGCACTGGGATTGTGAGCATTGAACTCAGTGCTGCCCTATCATAGCAGAAAGCAAAACTGGAATGAACTCAGCTGATGCCTGCCCACAGAGGGTGTGTTTCAACTGGCCCTGGACAGAGGGGAATCACCCTCCCAGTGATTGGAACTTGAGTTCTGGCAAGCTTCACCACCATAGTCTAAAATGCTCTGGGGCCCTAAAGAAACTTAAAACAGTCTAGGTCACAAGGACAGCAACTCCCAGGTGTCATGCTGAACTGGGCTTAGAGCCAGTGGACTTGGGGGCCACATTACCTACTAAGATACAAGCTGGGGCAGCTAAGAGAGTTCTTATACCACCCCTCCTCCAAACTGAGGCTGCACAGCTCACAGATTCAAGAGACCACTTCCATCTACTTAAGAAGACAGAAAGAGTAAACAGGACTTTGTCTTGTATTTTGGATACCAGCAAGGCCACCAGTCAGAGTTATAAAACACCCTTCTCAGCCACTAGCTCCTAATTAAAATTTCTAGGTACATACTGGACTATAAGGAAATCTGCTGCCTTGAATGAAGAAATCCGGTACTAACAAGACCCATCAACTGCTAAGTAAAGGGCCCTTGGCCTGGAATAACCTGCAGTGATAACCAGGTAGTTTGCTGTGAGCTTTCATTGAGACTCTGAGGCTTGCTAGAATCAGGTGAGACTCGGCACATTCACAACTGTGGTGGCTACAGGGAGACACTGAAAAAGGTAGAGGAAAAACTAGAGAACTTCATCTTGCAACTTAGGTCCCAGCATGGCCAAAGAGAGGAAGAGCACCAGTGGGCTCTTGGGGTCCCTTATTCCAGGTCTTGGCACTTGGATGGCACTTCTGGACCTGTACTGGGACAGAAGGGACACCACTGACCAAAAGGATGAGTACCAGGCCAAGCATCATTCACTATAAGTGAACTAAAGAGCCTTGAACCTTAAGAGAACATTGGTGGAAGCCTGGCAGTATTCCCGATGGGCCTGTGGTGATGGCAGCAATAGGATGAGGCCCCTCTGCCTGTTGAGTAAGGAGGGAAAAATGGGAAGAACCGAATTTCATGGTTTAATTGCTAGCTCTACCACAGTACAATAGAACACAAAGTAGACTCCTAAGGTTATTGACTCCAGCCCCTGGCTCCTGGATGGCACCACTGGGCTTGCCCAGAACCTGAGGGAACTCACTACTCTGAAGGAAAGGATACAAACCTGGCTGGCTTACCACCTACAGATTATAAAGCCCCAAGACCTTGAGCAATTACTGGTGGTACCAGGTAGGGTTACAGCTCACCATGGGTGTGATCAAGTGCTGTGCTGGTTTCAGGTCTGACCCACTGCAGTCCTACTGATAGCAACAGAAGACAAACTCCTAGGCAGACAGGGATGGGTGCACTGGTGAAACTCGACCTTCAAGGAAACAACAGTCTAAAAAGCCTGAAAACTGAGCTACCAGTTCCAGAAAGAATTCATGGACTAGAGTGAGAACTTCCATCCCTGTCTAACCTGCTCTCTATTGGTTCTTTGAGAATGATGCCTTTTAACCAATTGAATGGTGTCTTTTCCAAGCCCACCCATGAACCAATCAGCATGCATTCTCCTGTTTTAAACCCATAAAAATCCCAGACTCAGCCTCACAGATGGCTACCTACTTTCAGGTTCCCTCTTGCTGCTGATAGCAAGACCAGAAAACAAAGAACAAAATGGCAAGAGTAAGTCTTTATATAATCAATAACAACACTGAATGTAAATGGACTAAATTCTCCAATCAAAAGACACAGAGTGGCTAAATGGATACAAAAATTAAGACCCAGCGATTTGTTGCCTACAAGAAACACACTTCACCTATAAACACATAGATTAAAAAGATTTAAAAAAATTCCATGTCAAAGAAAACAAACAAAAATAGCAGTAGTTGCTACACTTATGTCAGACAAAATAGATTTCAAGACAAAACTAGAAGAAGAGACAAAGATGGTCACTCTATAATAATAATGAGTTTAATTCAGCATGAGGATGTAAGAATGTTACATACATATGCATCCAACACTGAAGTACTCAGATATATTAAGCCAGTATTATTAGAGCTAAAGAGAGAGACAGGCTCCAATATAATAATACCTGGAGAATGCAACATCACACTTTCAGCATTGGATAAATCTTCCAGACAGAAAACCAACAAAGAAATCTCAGGCCTAATCTGCACTATAAACCAAATGGACACAATGGATATTTACAGAACATTTTATCCAATGGCTTCAGACTACACATTTTGCTCTGCAGTGCATGAATCATTCTCATGGATAGACCATATGTTAGGTCACAAAACAAGTCTTAACACATTTTAAAAATTAAAATAATATCAAGCATCTTTTGTGACTACAATAAAAAAACCTAGAAATCAATAACAAGACAAATTTTTGAAACTATACAAACACATAGAATTTAAACAATATGCTCCTGAAAGGCCAGTGGGTCAATGGGGATATTAATAAATAAATTGAAATATTTCTGTAATATGTCACAATGGAAATACTTAGGATTTACAGTAAAAGCAGTACTAAAAGTTTATAACTAAAAGTGTCTACATAAAAAAATTCAAATGAACAACTTCATGACAGATTTAATGCAATTTCCATGAAAATACCACCAGTATTCTTCACAGAACTAGAAAAAAAACCCTAAAATTAATATGGATCAAAAAAGTGCCTACATAGCCAAAGTAATACTAACCAAACAAATAAATAAAAAATATGGGGTCATCACATTACCCTACTTCAAATTATACTACAAGGCTATAGTTATCAAAACAACATGGTATTGGTATTAAAATTTACACACAGACCAATGAAGCAAAATACAGAATCCAGAAATTAAGCCAAACACAGGCAACTAAACTAATCATCAACAAGGCATATAAAGACACAAATTGGGGAAAGAACACCCTATTCAATAAATGGTGCTAGGAAATACTGGCAAGCCACACGCAGAGGAATAAAACTGGATCCCCATCTCTGACCTTATACAAAAATCAATTCAAGATGGATCAAATATTTCAATCTAAGGCCTGAAAGCATATGAATTCTAAATGATAACATAAGAAAAAAAACTCTTCTCGACATTGATTTAGGCAAAGAATTCATGACTAAGACCCCAAAAGCAAATGCAACAAAAACAAACATAAATAAATGGGACCTAATTTAACTAAAAAGCTTCTGCACTGCAAAGGAAATAAGCAGCAGAGTACACAGACAACCCACAGAGTAGCAGAATATATTTGCAAACTACACATCTGACAAAAAGCTAGTATCCAGAATCTATAAGGAACTCAAAGAAATTAGCAAAATAATAATTCCATCAAAAAGTAGGCAAAGAAAATGAATATATATTTTTTCAAAAGAAGATATACAAACAGCTAATAACAACCTAAAAATGCTCAACATCAATAATCAAGGAAATACAAATGAAAACCACAGTTAGATATCAAATAACTCCTACAAAAATGGCCATTTTTTGTAGGCCAAAAAAAGTCAAGAAAACAACAGATGTTGGCATTGGATGTGGTGAAATGGGAACACTTAACAAAATAATGTCATTTGCAGCAACTTGGATGGAGCCGAAGGTCATTATTCTAAGTGAAATAACTCAGAAATGGAAAACTAGATATCGTATGTTCTTACATATAAGTGGGAGCTAATCTATGAGGATGCAAAGGCATAAGAATAATGTAAAAGACTTTGGGGACTTGAGGGGGAAGGCTGGGAGGCGGGTGAGGGATAAAAAACTACATATTAAGGACAGTGTGCACTGCTCAGGTGACAAGTGCACTGAAATCTCAGAAAACACACTAAAGAACTTATCCATGTCATGAAAAACCACCTGTATTTCCAAAACAATTGACACTTAAAAAAAAAAAACCTAATGACATATCTTAGAGAGCTAGAAAAACAAGAGCAAACCAAACCAAAATTAGAAGAAAAGAAATAATAAAGATCAAAGCAGAAATAAATGAATTTGAAATAAAATACAAAAGGTCAATAAAATGCAAAGTTGTTTTTTGGAAAAAAAAAAAAAGAAACCTGACAGACCTTTACTCAGACTAAGAAAAAAAAAAAAAAAAAACTCAGCAGGCAGTGGCTCATGCCTGTAATCCCAGGACTTTAGGAGGCTGAGGCGGGCGGCTGGATCACCTGAGGTCAGGAGTTCAAGATCAGCCTGGCCAACATGGCAAAACCCCGTCTCTATTAAAAAACACAAAAATTAGCCAGGCGTGGTGGTGGGCGCCTGTAATCTCACCTACTCAGGAGGCTGAGGCAGGTAGAATTGCTTGAACTCGGGAGGCGGAGGTTGCAGTAAGCTGAGATCGAGCCACTGCACTCCAGCCTGGGCAACAGAGCAAGTCTCCATCTCAAAAACAAATAAATAAATAAAAGAATAAAAGGAAAAGACTCAAATAATATCAAAGATGAAAAAGGAGACATTTCAACTCTACAACTTATACTGCAGGAATTCAAAAGATCATTAGTGAGTACTATGAGCAGATAGATGCCATAAATTGGAAAATCTAGAACAAATGGATAAATTTCTAGACACATAGAACCTAAGAAGATTGAATTATTAAGAAATCCACAACCTGAATACACAAACAAGACGTGATGAGATCCATAATACAAAGCCTCCCATCAAAGAAAAGCCTGAAATCTGATGGTTTCACTGAATTTGACAAAACATGTATAAAACTAATAGCAATCCCACTTAAACTATTTCAAAACAGAGGAGGAGGAAATACTTTCAACCTCGTTCTGTAAGGCAAGCATTACTCTCATACTAAAATCAGACAAATGCATATCAAAAAAATCTATAGGCCAATATCAGCAATAGATGCAAAATTTCTCATAAAAATACTGGCAAGTAAAATTCAGCAACAGATTAAAAGTTTATTATTCCTCATCATCAAGTAGGATTTATCTCATGGATGCAAAGATACTTCAACATATGCAAATCAATTAATGTAATATACCATATCAACAAAAGAAAGAACAAAAACCACATGATCATTTTAATTGATCCTGAAAATCATTTGACAAAACTTAATATCTCCTCATGAAAGAAACCCTCAAAACTATAGAAGAAACATACATGCAGCCAAAAAACACATGGAAAAATGCTCACCATCACTGGCCATCAGAGAAATGCAAATCAAAACCACAATGAGATACCATCTCACACCAGTTAGAATGGCAATCATTAAAAAGTCAGGAAACAACAGGTGCTGGAGAGGATGTGGAGAAATAGGAACACTTTTACACTGTTGGTGGGACTGTAAACTAGTTCAACCATTGTGGAAGTCAGTGTGGCGATTCCTCAGGGATCTAGAACTAGAAATACCATTTGACCCAGCCATCCCATTACTGGGTATATACCCAAAGGACTATAAATCATGCTGCTATAAAGACACATGCACATGTATGTTTATTGCAGCACTATTCACAATAGCAAAGACTTGGAACCAACCCAAATGTCCAACAATGATAGACTGGATTAAGAAAATGTGGCACATATACACCACGGAATACTATGCAGCCATAAAAAATGATGAGTTCATGTCCTTTGTAGGGACATGGATGAAATTGGAAATCATCATTCTCAGTAAACTATCGCAAGAACAAAAAACCAAACACCACATATTCTCACTCATAGGTGGGAGTTGAACAATGAGAACACATGGACCCAGGAAGGGGAACATCACACTCTGGGGACTGTTGTGGGGTGGGGGGAGGGGGGAGGGATAGCTTTAGGAGATATACCTAATGCTAAATGACGAGTTAATGGGTGCAGCACACCAGCATACCACATGTATACATATGTAACTAACCTGCACATTGTGCACATGTACCCTAAAACTTAAAGTATAATAAAAAAAGAAACATACCTCAGCATATAAAAGTTATATATAGATATATAGATATCACATATAGTATGATACTAAATGGGGAAAAATGAAAAGCTTTTCCTCTAAGATTGACAACATGACAGAGATGCACACTTTCACTACTGTTATTCAACACATGGCAGCTAGAGCAATTAGCAAGAGAAAAAATAAAGGGCAAGCAAATTGGAAAGGAAGAAGTCAAATTATGTTTGTTTGCAGATGATGTGGTCTTATATTTGGAAAATCCTAATTCACTAAAACACTATGAGAACTCACAATTTTAGTCAAGATATAGGATTAAAAAGTTAGCAGCATTTCTATATGCCAACAGTGAACAATGTGAAAAAGAAATCAAGAGAGTGGTCCCATTTACGATAGCCTCAAATTAAAATTAAATACCTAGGAATTAACCAAAGACGTTAAAGATCTCTACAATGAATACTATAAAACATTGATGCAAGAAATTTAAAAAGACAAAAATATGTATTTTATGTTCATGAATAAGAATCAGTATTTTTAGTGTCTATATTAACCAATGCAATCTACAGACTTAATGCAACCCTATCAAAACATCGATACTCTTCACAGAAACAGGAAAAACAATCCTATAATGCAGACAGAACCACGAAAGACTCAGAATAGCCAAAGTTCTTGTAAGAAAAAATTTTGCCTTTATGTGCCTGGCTTATTTGTCTTACCATATGATCTCCAGTTCCATCCATGTTGTTGCAAATAACAGGATCTTATTCTTTATAAGTGAAAAGTACTCCTGGGGGTGTGTATGTACATTTGCTTTATCCATTCATCTGTTGACATGTTGCTTCTAAATCTTGGCTAATGTAAACAATGCTGTGTGAAAGGAAAACAAATCTTTGGACCCCAAAATCACTAAGCTAAAGGGAAAAGTCAAGTTGGGAACTGCTTAGGGCAAATCTGCTTCTCATTCTATTCAGTCATCCCTCTGCTCACTGCAAGTCCTACCAGTACACAGGAGAAAATTTAAAAATCAATAAAAGCAAAATAATTCAATGAAAACAAAAAAGCAACTGTCATTATCTCCATAAGAGGTGACTGTGTAGGTAGAAAATCCAAATGTAACTGACTAGCTGTTAGCTTAACTGTACAAAACACTATTAATATTCCTAAATTCTATCCATACTTAGAAAATAAAATACAATAGCAAACTTCACCTGCTCCACCCTATATTACTCCCTATGTTGATAACATTTGAGATGTCTCATGTAGCTGATTTATTTAAATATTTGCACCAATTCAGATTTAATCAAATTTTACTATTATTTTTACTTCTTTGTTTTTGCCGACTATTGATTATTATTATTATTTTTTTAAGACAGTCTCACTCTGTGGCCCAGGCTTGAGTGCAGTGGCACAATCTCAGCTCACTATAACCTCTGCCTCCTCGGTTCAAGTGATTGTCCTGCCTCAGTCTCCCGAGTAGCTGGGATTGCAGGTGCACACCACCACACCTGGCTAATTTTTGTATTTTTAGTATAGACGGAGTTTCACCATGTTGGCCACGCTGGTCTCAAACTCCTGACCTCAGGTGATCCACCCACCTCGGCCTCCCAAAGTGCTGGGATTACAGGTGTGAGCCACCACACCCAGCCTGATTAGTATTTTTAATGCATTTCTTTGAATTCATTTTCTCATCTTTAGGGAGTGCATCCTCCAGTTTTGTTTTTTTGGTTTTTTTTCCCCTCACAGAGTTTACAGGTAGTCAGTAGTATATACTTCTGAATAAATTCTGTCTTAGGTTGGTTTCAGTGATAGTTTGGCTGACTGTAAATTTCTATTTCCAATGTTCTTTTCTGTGAGAACTCACTATTGATTTCTGCACTTCTTTTTGCTTCTGATGTCACCACCCTGATCAAATCAAAGTCTCTCTCATTCCTTTGAAGCAAATCAGTTTATATCATTCTGGTGATATAAAATGTGACCTTCATGTTTCTGGGTATGCTTTTTGTTTTTGTTGTTTTCCATTTATCCATTTCAACATAACATGAACTTTTATAACAAAAGCACATTATCCTTTTCCAGTTTCTGGAAGTTTTTCTCAATTATTTTTGTTACTAATTCTTTGAAATTTATTAAAACTGGCTTTATGCCAAGTAAAGTGGTAACTATTACATATGCAATTTAAATGGCTGCATAATATTCTCTAATCACTATATATGTCCATTAAAATCAAAGTGGGAAATAATCTATTCGAATCTTCTATATCCTTATCCTTTCACTTTATTTTATGTGTTCTACTTGTCCATTTTATCTAGTTTTTTTCCCTCTCTCTTCCTGCTTTTCTTTTGAATTTATTTATTTATTTATTGAGACTGAGTCTCACTCTGTTCCCCAGGCTGGAGTGCAGCGGCATGATTTCGGCTTACTGCAACCTCTGCCTCCCGGATTCAAGTGATTCTCGTGCCTCTGCCTCCTGAGTAGCTGGGACAACAGGTGTAAGCCACCACGCCCAGCTAATTTTTTTCTTTGTATTTTTAGAATAGAAGGAGTTTCACCATGTTGGCCAGGCTGGTCTTGAACTCCTGACCCCAGGTGATCCACCTGCCTTGGCCTCCCAAATTGCTGGGAATACAGGTGTGAACCACTCTGCCCAGTCTCTTTTGAATAATTTAAATCCTTCTACCCTCACCCACCAATTCCATCTTTTTTCCTTTGATTGGTTTGGAAATTAAACCTCTATTGGTTTGGAATCTTTACTATTCTTTTAGTTGTTTTCCTTGAAATTTTACACTGCATTTTGCATTACAATTTAACAAAGGCTAAAATTAAGCTAATTTTAACTCCCTCCACAAAATAATGCAAACACTGTAGAATGCCTTCACTCTGATCACCTCATTTTTGTATTTATTTTCAGTTGTTCGCTTATTCTGTCTTGTTTCCTTTAATTCCACCAACCACAAACAGAAGTTGTTTTACATACAGCTTTCTTATTGTTGCAAATACGTGATTAGAGTTTCAGATGTGTCATCTGCTTACTAGCTACTAGATTCTAACTATTCATAACTGCACTCCTTAATCTTTTCCTTTCTTGCTAACCTTCTCTATTAACATTTCTTTATTGAAACTTTGTTGGTCTTAAATGCTCTTAAGTCTTAAAGATTATATTTTTCTGTAAATGACTACCTCAATTTTATTTATTTATTTATTTATTTTTGAGACAGAGTCTCACTCTGTCGCCAGGCTGGACTGCAGTGGCGTGACCTCGGCTCACTGCAACCTCTGCCTCCCAGGCTCAAGTGATTCTCCTGCCTCTGCCTCTCAAGTAGCTGGGATTAGAGGCACCTGCCACCACGCCCGGCTAATTTTTGTATTTTTAGTAGACACAGGGTTTCACCATGTTGGCCAGGCTGGTCTCAAACTCCTGACCTCAGGTGATCTGCCTGCCTTGGCCTCTCAAAGTGCTAGGATTACAGGCATGAGCCACCACACCCGGCTCTCACCTTCATTCTTGAAATACGACTCTACAGTTCTTCATTGGTAATGATTATTGCCACTGACTCTCCTTCATGGTGGTTTGTTTCCTCTGTCTACAATTTTCCCTGGAACCTCTGCTGCTCCTGGTATGCACCACTCCAAACTCACTGAGGCCAGACTCTGAGGACACGCCCATCTTTTGTAGTCACTCTCGTGATTGTCGTTATTTGATGAATTTATTTTTTAAATTAATTAATGTATTTTTTTGAGACAGAGTCTTGCTCTGTTGCCCAAGATGGAGTGCAGTGGCGTGATCTCAGCTCACTGCAACCTCCGCCTCCCAAGCTCAAGCGATTCTTCTGCCTCAGCCTCCCGAGCAGCTGGGATTACAGGCACCCACCACCAAGCCCAGATAACTTTTGTATTTTTAGTAGAGATGGGGTTTCACCACGTTGGCCAGGCTGGTCTCGAACTCCTGACCTCGTGATCTGTCCACCTCAGCCTCCGAAAGTGCTGGGACCACAGGCGTGAGACACCCCACTGGCCATGAATTTATTTTATGGAAGAAGATAAACATACTAAAGATTTCATAATTATTTTTCACTAATGTTATACTAACAAGAAGTTACATTATTAAATAATTGCACTAATACTGGTACTCAATATTAGATAGTGGTACAGTTACTTTTTTGTTCCTCCCATATAAATTTCTCAGCTATGAATTTGTCTTGCCACAAAAGAGGCCTAAAGGATAAATCTATTCAGGCAGATTTGAGAAGAGTAGTTGACTCCCCCAAAATACACATTTTCCTATTTCAACATCATTGTTAATGAAATGAAGTGGCAGTGCTCACCTGGAAGAAAACACTTGCAAAACATACATCCAACAAAAGATCTGTAACCAAAATATACAAGAGCTCTTACTGTTCAATAGTAAGACGATAAATCACCCTAATAAAAAATAGGCAATGGTTTAAACAGATGCTTCACCAAAGAAGACATACAGACAGAAGCAAGCACAAGAAAAGATGCTCTAGATTGGGTGCCGTGGCTCACGCCTATAATCCCAGCACTTTGGGAGGCCAAGGCGGGTGGATCACCTGAGCTCAGGAGTTCGAGACCAGCCTGGCCAACATGGTGAAACCCTGTGTCTACTAAAAATACAAAAAATTATCTGAGCATGGTGGCAGGTGCCTGTACTCCCAGCTACTTGGGAGGCTGAGGCAGGAGAATCGCTTGAACCTGGGAGGTGGAGCTTGCAGTGAACGAAGATCGCGCCACAGCACTCCAGCCTGGGCGACAGAGCAAGACTCAGTCTCAAAAAAGGATATATATAATGATATAGCACTGCATATGTATCAGAATGGCTAAAATTAAAGATGGACCATACCAAAGCTGGTCAAGATATAGAGCCACTGAAACTCTCATACACTACTGCTGAAAATGGAAAATGGTTCAACTGCTTTGGGAAACAACTTGGCAGTGTATTAAAAAGTTGAGCATGCACTTACCATATGCACTAGGCATTCTACTACCAGGTATTTAGCCAAGAGAAACAAAGGAATATGCCTACAGAAAGGCTAGTTCACTACTGATCGTAGTCACATTGCTTGATACTTGAGGTCCACAGGAGCAGTAATAGTGACTAAAATTCACTGAGATTTACTAAGTTCCAGGTATTACTTTCATATATTAATTTGTTTAATCTTCATTAACATTTCCATGAGGAAGCAGTGAGGGAGGAAGGACATCTCTCTGGCCAGCCAAATTCCTGGCCAGCCAAATTCCCTTAAGTCAACCATCAATCACTTACCATCGAGGTCGAGTTCATCCTCCTCCAAGGGAAGGCTGAAGATACTGATGGCGGCTCAGTTATGGTATCTCTCAGGGAAGGGAAAAAACTGGCTTCTTCCCTAGAGAGTGGGGCCGTGATCAATGTGGCCATGATTAATGACACACATGTCCTTTTCATGATGAGTTTCATGGTGCATCGCATGCTAGCCTACAGACTGTACCTTTCCACTCTTCCTGTTTCACTTTGCAATGATATTCACTAGAAAAAGGATCTTTTTCTGCGCTAACAGGCAGCCAATCTTCCAGCAAATGAACTGGGTCACTTAATGAAGAACCATAAGTTGTCATCAATAGTGATGCAGACTTCTCAATGATCAGGTTTGCAGGTTTACAAAGACAGATCAGTAGTTCTTCGTGACAAAGAACAGTAAATGATTATGATCAAAATTGTATTCTTATAATCTAAAACACCAATATTGTCTTTCTTTTTCTTTTTTTTTTTTTTTTTGAGACGGCGTCTTTCTCTGTCACCCAGGCTGGAGTCCACTGGCGTGATCTCAGCTCACTTCAATCCCCGTTTCCTGGGTTCAAGCAATTCTCCTGCCTCAACCTTTCAAGTAGCTGGGAGTACAGGTGTGTGCCACCACGCCCAGCTAATTTTCTGTATTTTTAGTCCAGACGGGGTTTCACCATGTTTGCCAGGCTGGTCTCAAACTCCTGACCTCAGGTGACCCACCCACCTTGGACTCCCAAAGTGCTGAGATTACAGGCATGAGCCACTGCACCTGGCTAATGCCTTGCAGTACACATCTAAAGAGAGCATTTGACTTTATCTAACCAGTGCTTGACTCTGAAATCTGTTAACTGTATGTCTTCTATGTCTGAAAGTATAAGTATTTTTTTTCCAATTCCTATGCTAAGTGCTCTATTTACTTCCTTATCTCATGTGAACCTTACAAACCATACGAACGTATTTTTTAGAAATTTTCCTTGAAACTTTAAGAAAGCAAATGGCAATGTGGTGTGTGCTTTCTTAAACTTCCTTAAAACTTTATTCAGTGTATCCTCTTCCCAGCCTCACTTTTTGTGACTCTTGGCAATGACTGCATCTTTCACACCATAGAAAATAACCTGCTCTGAAACATCAACGCTCACAAGCTGGTCTTACCAGAACCTCCATGAACCAAATGCTGCAAAGAAGCCTCAGAATCACAGATGCATAACATCTAGCTAGCCTGATAACATTACACAGCTGTTTATTTTTTATTTTTATGTCTATTACTTTTAGTGTAGCAGTTTTCTTATACTCAAATGTCTAAACATTGAAAACTCAGCCAATGCAAAGCTATACAACAAACCCTTTGACAGCCTTCGCACATTTGAACAGTATTATTTTTCTTAAATGAGCCAATTCTGAGACACAAATTTCATAATTCTTGAAAGATTTTCTTCCACAATAGAAATTTTGGTTAAAATGATTTATTTGACCCGAATCAAATTATGGAATTATGTTCTAAAACTAACTGTATTACATTTATTACATCTATTGGTCCTCAAGCCAAACTTCTGCCAGCCATTTCTCGTCTTCGTGCTGTGCTCACAAGGACCAGCAGCATGTGCTAATACTGACTGTCTGCCCAGTAACATGCTAGAGTATGAGGAAGGCACCTCAGGCACATGGAGGCAATAGCTGCAACTGGGTCAAGGCACATGCCCTATTTCTTCATCACTCACACACTCAGAAATCCACAATGGGGAATATGCATTTTGCATGGAAGAAGAAAAAAATGACTCAATCCTAGCTAGGGGGATTCCCACCTCACTCCCTCACAGCACTCTCTACCCAACCACCTTCCCTCGCCACACTCAGACATGCTCACACCTACACACAAGGATGATCTGGCCACTTCTCCCATTAATTCACCACTCCTAGAAAAACTGTATTTGGCTTAAATTTATCAAGCTGTCTGGCTGCCTGAAGATTTATAGATGTCAAAATAAAAAACTAATTACAACTCGGAATACCGCAGTAGCACCTGATTTAATGTCTAAGGCAGCAGGCCAGTGAACATACTGAGAAAGGAGAACCCTCACACACTCTCCATAAAGGAGCCATGATGGGGATCAGCATGGAGGATCCTCAGAAAACTAAAACTAGAGTTACTATATGCCCACAATCCCACTGATGGGTATACATCCAAAAGAAACAAAAAACAATATATCAAAAAGATATCTGCACTCCCATGTTTATCTCAGCCCTATTCACAACAGCCAATATATGGAGTCAACCTAAGTGCCCATAACAGATGAATGCATAAAGAAATGTGGTATGTATACACAATGGAATACTATTCAGCCATAAAAAAGAATGGGATCCTGTCATTTGCAGCTACAAGGCATAACTGGGGATCATTGTGTTAAGTGAAATAATCCAGGCACAGAAAGAAAAATATTACATGTTCTTAGTCATATGTGAGAGCTGAAAAAGTGGATCTTATGAAGACAGAGAATAAACTGATGATTACCAGAAGCTGGGAAGGATTTGGCAGGGGAGGGCTCAGGAGGCTGAGGCAGGAGAATTGCTGGAACCCGGGAGGTGGAGGTTGCAGTGAGCCAAGATCGTGCCATTGCACTCCAGGCTGGGGGACAAGAGCGAGACTTCATCTCAAAAATAAAATCATAAAATAAAATAAAATTGAAAAAAGTTCCCGGTTATCATGTTGTTGAGTAGTACTTAATCAGAATATACTTGAAAACAAAAGATTCTTTGTGGTTTTTTAACTCTTGGTAATTAATCCATTTTAGGCAGTCTTAAAAAAATGATGTAGGACAGGGAAACCAATATGAAATGGGTAGTCTGAAAAGCAGTTATTAGATATTGACCATCATTTTAGGAAAGGCAGGCTATTTACCCCACTATATGCTCCCAGGTAAACTTGTCTTCAATTCCTGTTAAGTCAAACGGGAAAAACCAAACTTGCCATCTCTCTATATTTACTATCATTTAAAAAATTCTGTTAAGAGACACCAAAACATAGTATTTCGTACCTCCTTGCAACATAAAAAATTGGCTTCCCAGCTTTGGAATTCCCAGCTTGGTAAAAAATACTTAATGTTTTCAAAGCCTTGATCTCTTCTTTTTCACATACCTGATGCCTAAAAGAAAAAGAACAGGGTAACTGTGAGGCTTTGTGTTGTCTACTGAGTATGTAAAACAGTCCATAATTGGATAAACAATAAAATGCTAAAATGAAAAATTATTTTAAAAGCAACAGGCATTCTAAAGGGTAATTTGACAACATGCACAAAAAATCTCAAGATATTACTCTTTGAACCACAAAAGCACTTTTAGGACTATTCTAAGAGAACTACTGGATGAGGATATTAACCATAGGATTGTTTTTACTCATGACTTCTTTGTGTCAGACAGAAGTTTATGATTTTTTAACGAATTCATTTTATTAATCTTTTCCTTTCTAGTTTATGGATTTTGAATGGATGAAAAAGGCCTTGCTTTGCCCATGTTTTTTTTTCTTTCTGATTTATGGGAGTCTATCCTCATAAATGGTATGAAAATATTTTTTCAGATCATTACTCAGTTTTATCAACACCATTTATTGAAAGTCCATCCTAATCTTGATTTCAAATACCACTTTTATCATATATTATGTTCCCATATGTATTAAAGCCTGGTTTACTTTTTATATAGTCTGCTCAAGACGCAGTGTGCTTCTTTAACTTCAAGATTAATGTCATTCATCAACTCTAGAAAACATTCATCCTTTACCCTTTCAAATATTACTTCTTCCCATTCTCACTGAGCTCAATTTCTAGGGAACACCTACTAGACATATTTTGGAACTTCTCATTCTATCTTCTGCATCTCTTAATCTCTTTCATATTTTCCATTTCTTTGTCTGTAATGACTGTATGCTAGGTAATTTGCTTAGAAACTACCTTCAGCTATAAACTTAATTAATTAATTAATTAACAGATGGAGTTTTGCTCTTGTCGCCCAGGCTGGAGTGCAGTGGCACGATCTCAGCTCACTGCAACCTCTGCCTCCCAGGTTCAAATGATTCTCCTGCCTCAGCCTCCCAAGTAGCTGGGATTACAAGCACCCGTCACATGCCTGGCTAATTTTTATTTTTATTTTTTTTTTAGTAGAGATGGGGTTTCGCCATGTTGGCCAGGCTTCTCTCAAACTCCAAACCTCATGTGATCCACCTGCCTCAGCCTCCCAAAGTGCTGGGATTATAGGCGTAAGCTACTGCACTCTTCCTAATTTTTTTTAAGTATACATGTTTTCTTTTACACTTAGTGTATCTATGAGTATTGTGATTTGGGAAGGAGACTGTATTAACTCAGCCCATCATGCTGCTGGTACCAGGTCAGCATTTTAAAAATATTAATGGAAACAACCTAGATATCATTTGATAGGAGAAAAACATATACATGTGCATAGATAAATGACTGGGAGACTATACACCATACGTTAACTGAATTATTTCTGAGCAGGAGGATAAACAATTTTTAATTTTTTTTTACTTTCTTTAGATTTCTATATTGAGTAATTCAATAATTTTTTTTAAATAACAGAATATTGGCTGGGCATGGTGGCTCGTGCCTGTAATCCCAGCACTTTGGGAGGCTGAGGCCGGTGGATCACCTGAGGTCAGGAGATCGAGGCCATCCTGGCTAAAACGGTGAAACCCTGTCTCTACAAAAAATACAAAAAATTAGCCAGGCGTGCTGGCGAGCGCCTGTAGTCCCAGCTACTTGGGAGGCTGAGGCAGGAGAATGGCGTGAACCCAGGAGGCAGAGCTTGCAGTGAGCCGAGATCATGCCACTGCACTCCAGTCTGGGCAGCAGAGCGAGATTCTGTCTCAAAAAAAAAAAAAAAAAACTGAGGCTATTATAAAGCTACCTTCATTTTTTTAAAACAGAAAATGGGTCTCCAAAAGCATCAGTGGGAATTTAGAACAAAAATAAGATCTAACATTTATTAAACACTTTACAAGTACCAGATACTGTGCTAAGTATACTATATATATTAGAACACATAATCTTCAAAAGCACAAAAGACTGCTTTGTAAGGAAAGGTAGGATCTTAGAAAAAAAGGAGTAATAAAAACATTTTCCTAGAAAAATAGAAAAATGGCCAGGATGCCCTCAGTGATGTTAAATTTAAAAATTGTTTGTTTTGATGTACTCATCTTTATATGTATTTCTATTTACTTATTTTTTTTACTTCTTTTAATTTATATTTTTACTTATTTCTTTATTTATAGACAAGTCTCATTCTGTAGCCTAGGCTGGAATGCAGTGGTGCATTCACAGTTCACTTCAGCCTTGAGCAAACCTCCCACCTCAGCCTCCCAGGTAGCTGGGACCACAGGTACGCACCACCACACCTGGTTAATATCTTATTATTTGTAGAGATGGAGTCTTGCTATGTTGCCCAGGCTGGTCTCAAACTCCTGGCTCAAGCAATCCTCCTGCCTTGGCATCCCAAAATGCTGGGATTACAGACATGAGCCACAGTGCCCAACCTATTTATTTATTTATTTAAGACAAGGTCTCACCATGTTGCCCAGGCTGGTCTTGAACTCCTGGTCTCAAGTGATTCTCCAACCTTGGCCTCTCAAAATGTTGGGATTACAGGTATGACCCACCATGCCTGGCCTAAAAATAGTATTATATTTTTGTATTATATAATTTTCAATTAGGTAATATGAATATTCTGTACAGAAAATATGCCCTTAATTACATAGGAATAAACGTTTGCTACACTAAGAAAAATCTAACAAAGCTAAAAATAAAAATTAATTTGGAAAGTACATTATATACCCATACATTCTTATGTTTATACATTCTTTCATATATTCATATATTCTTTTAACAGTATCAATGGTTTGGAGTTATGTGTACAAAACCATGACCTATATGTAATACAACTAACAACAGGCACTTACAATTCAAGGCATATGATATACAAAGCTTTAACTTCTCATCATCAGATTTTGTTTTTTTCTTTCTGTTTTGGCAGATACTGTGAACACAACATTCAACTCACAGACACTATGGAGACCTTACTAAGCATAAGGTACTGTGAAATGTACTTTAAAAGATTCAGCAAACTACTCTCACTGTATCATCATAGAGTCAGTGTCTAACCATGAAGATCTTTTTGTTCACAAGCTAAATGCCATGAAATGGGATTCAAAACAAATGTCCACAGAAATTTTATAGCAATACTGAAGTAGACTATATTTTCTGAGCCTTAATCTAAAAGAAGTTAAAGCCATTCATCTTTATGAGGGTTCTGAAAAGTGTTATAGTGTAGTAGAAAAGTTCTGCACTTAAAACCAAAAGACCTATGAATCAGGTGTGGGATCTCACACAAGCCAGTTATTCACACTGAGTTGCATTTTCCTTAACTATCATCTGAAAATAATGTTTTCTTCATTCCCTGGTAGGTATTAAATGTGAAAACTTATGAAAGCGAGATGATAAAATATGATTTGTTACTACTATTATGGCAATCAACATATAAAACATATTCTTTATATATATATATATATATATATATATAAATAATATATAGAATAGGAGAAAAGTTGGGTCCCCAAACATGGCAATGTGATTATTAGATGCATCTTTCCTCATAGTCTTCTATCATATCTAACAAGTGGCCTAGTGGTAAACTCTGCTTCTCAACCAAAAAGAAAGCAATCTACATTTCAAGGTTGTACTTTACCTCATCATAAATTCCTCAAACTTTTAACTGGTAAGGTTAAGGCTGGACCGGTATGTATCTGCCACAGGTTTGTGCTCTGGAGGACCGAGGTATACAAGAAGTGTTGCCATTTATCAAAAGGTCATCTTCCAACAGCTTTATGATCCCTAGATATAGCAAACTACTTAGAAAAAAGTAGCAGTTCACATTTAGCAGTACACATTTCTTTAACTTGTAACTGTTGCTTTTCCTTTAACTGTCAGCTGGTGGTCCCTGTTGATTTGTAAACAGCACCCAAAAGACCTCAGGCCCATGTCTACTTCAATCCATTAATAATGCATAAAAGATTAAAATGCTCTGTGGTTTAAACTCCCATCTCCCAATTGCTTACCCTTAGCTTCATAGTCCACTACTTTTCCTGTGAATGTGCTAACCACTTTTATTGGCATTTAAAAATAATTTGGACTCATTTTTCCTTTGTAAGGAACTCCTCATACTTAGGAATTTTGTCCCTTTACAAGTTTATATAACTAGATGGAACAGCAAGTAATTTATGTTAACACAAGAGACTAATAAGAGCTAATGAAACAATGCCCAAATTAATAATTTCAATTTTTAAGTATTTTTTCTTTTTTTTTTTTTTTCCCCTGAGATGGAGTTTTGCTCTTATGGCCCAGGCTGGAGTGCAATGGCACAACCTCGGCTCACTGCAACCTCCGCCTCCCAGGTTCAAGTAATTATCCTGCCTCAGCCTCCCAAGTAGCCAGGATTACAGGCGCCTGACACCATGCACAGCTAATTTTTGAATTTTTAGTAGAGATGGGGTTTCACCATGTTGGCTAGGCTGATCTCGAACTCCTGACCTCAGGTGATCCACCCACCTCGGCCACCCAAAGTGCTGAGATTACAGGCATCAGCCACAGTGCCAGGCCAGTATTTTCTATATAAAGCTTTATTTGCATATACTTAGAGTATCACAAATGAGTTTATCATAGAATTGAAACACTGACAATATTTTAATTACTGAATTCCTATGAATTAGCTGTTCTTCAGATTCAAATGCCAACACTAATTTGAACTTCTTTGGGTCTATGACAGTTTGCAAGCCATACAAACCCAAAGAGCTAATCTGTGATTTCTTAACTTGAGAAAATAATAATAATAACCACCACTGGAACCTACATAGGTTTGTTGATTATTTAACATGACTTAACCTTTTGTTTGTATTTTTTTGAAAAAAAAAAAAAAAAGACTTTCTCTTTCTAAACCATAATTCTTAGTCCAAGAAGATGCAAAGTTTTTAAAAAGCACTATTCATGACCAATAATTTTATTGATCTAAATTAAAATGGAGAATGTTCACTATCCTCATGACTGGGAAATCTTACCTGTTGCTAGAAAGACACTGGCCAATTTTCTCCTGATTGTTCCGGAGTAGATGATGTAAAGCGAGCACATTGCCGTCACTGCTGAAGGAGAGGCTATGATTTACTGCATCACTTGTAGGACAATCAGATGCCATATCAAGAAAAAACATTAGAAAATGCAAAGTCACTAGAATTTTCAACACCAGAGACACACCATACTTATGTTTGAATTAAATTTATACGAAGTAACTTTGTGAAGCAACTGAGATGACAATTACAAATATGGAGGGCTTGTTCCCACAATGTGATTTGTCATTAGACAAAGTAAAAAGGACAAGGAGAAAGTTGGCTTTCCATTTCTGATACCTGGCTTCAGCTTCTGTAGTTAAAGAACAGCAAAATTGAGATGGATGAAACTTTGGAAAGAGGCTGGTATTTTACAGATAAGGAAATGAAGGTCCAGACAAAAGACCTCCCCAAAGATATATAGCCTGTTAGGTCAAAGCCAGTATTAAAACTTTGTTCCTTTTAACTTTCTTTGGGCCCTCAGTCTGCCAGAATATGAATCCTGTGCTGACATTCACTCTCTTTCCAACATGGCTTGTCATTCAGCAATATACCTTTTAAACTCCAATTTTCCTAAAAGAATAAAAGTCAGTAACAATTACAATGATGATAAACTGGAAGAGAGAGTTGTACAAGGCTAGCTTAGATGATAAGGATCAATTAGATTCACACTGCATGAAAAGCAGAATTCCAGACATAAATTTACAAAGCACTTTCTTATGAATTATCTCATTTTTTCTCTCTAAAAACAACTCAGGCAAAGAGTTTATCCCCACTTTACAGATAAACCAATAACTCAGAGAAATAAAGTGAAATAACTGGTTATGGAAATCCAGCAGAAAAGTTTTCTAAAATCATAAAGTTCAGTTACTCATGAACAAAATCTTACGTGTTTGCATTACTTGGTTTAAAGAATAACATTTTAGTTTAGATACACTTCCAAATTTAAGTATCACAAATATTCTGATACTAATAAAAACCTTATTAAACATTCTTATGCATTATCAATACCAATTTGGTTTTAGTTTTAAATAAAAGGAATCCTATTTCTTCCTTATCCCCATATTGTACCATCCTCAAATCCTTTATTTAACTAGACATGTCCAAAATGCCTCTTGGTTTTCAAATATGAAAATCACTACCAAATTATAAAAAATATTAATTTATTTCAAGACTGTCTTTTATAGTAAAATAAAATAAGGCAAGCTATGTCTTGACCTAGAGCAGGAAGAGAAAAAAACCTACACGGAACTTCATGTAAAACAGGTACATGGATTTATGTGAAACTGAAAATATTTGATTCAAACAGAGCAAGTGAATAAGTGGCAAGTAGCTTACCTTCAAGCTGCATCAAAGCTGCTTTTCACAAAATCATTGAAAGGCCGCATATGCTCTTCTTTTGTGAAGAGAACATGATTGGCAATACTCTGAAGTATTTACACAATAAAACAGGGTTATAAATAATCAGATTATTTATTGTATGAAGTTTATACATTAATATATTCTTTAAAAATATGAATTTTCTTGATATAATTTCTGCTAGTAGTTAAAATCAATCATTTCTCATTCTATATTTTAGGTAGTGTTTCTATTCTTCCTAATTATAATTATATTTACATGTACAAATACATATTAAAAATGTTTAATGTCTTAAAATAAAAAATCCTACAGCCTTCACTGTAGTCTGTTTCAGAATGTCTAGAATGATTACGCAAAAAATGATCCTCATGACACAAGACATCTGCTATAATAAAACGTATTCTCATGAAAATAAGGTCCATCAGGTACCTAACTAATGAATTCCTTTGTAATATAAACAAAATAAAAACACATAACTGAAAACCGTAGGGTATTTCCAATATAAATGTAAGAGGAAGTACTGTAAGAAAAGCTGAAAATTTAGTTGGAAGGGGAATTTAAGATAGCTAGATTATCAAAATAATTCACCTTTGACATTAACTTCAAGCCCCTTCCGATTCTAGGTGGTGGCTTTTTATCTAAAATCCCTGCTTCATACAGTGAGACAATGTCAGGATTCATAAATCTGAGGAACATGGCACTTCCTGCTGCACTGATACTGTTCTGAGGGAAACATTGGCTAACCCCCTAAAAACAAGTTGAGACTTGAGTATAAGGTTTGAATTAAAATAGGGGCATGGGAACAAAGAGTTCAAAGGTCAAAATTTGCACAACAACTCTGAGTCAATCAGTCCTCATGAATGACACATTTCTATTTTTTCTTCTCCCAAAACATGAGAAAATAAAGTTTCCTCTCAATTCTAGTCTTGTATCATATTAAAGTACAATTTAGGTATCTCAGAGGAAAGAAAAACCTCATGGATGAGATGGGTAGAAGAAACCTGAAAACAGATCTTCACTGTATCATCACCTATACTGCAAGTTTGAGGAGTCATGAAAACAGACCAAATTTTCACACAAAGATGATCATAATTTATTAAGATTAACAGACATGAAAGTGTGGTCAACATTATAAGGTGAAACTAAATTTTCAACAACACACCCCCAAAACATCCTATACCTGATAGTACATATTTATGTTTTGTTGTGTACCAGTTACAACTGAATTGAAGAAAAAAATGCTTGCTATAAAAAAACAAAATCTTAGATTCCTATTGAGGAAAAAAAAACTTACTTACAAGTAATGTTATTGCCTGTTGCCAGCTTCCTTTATAACAACCTACCTATTATTTGAACCATGGAGGGATGGGAATTCTTGGGCACCTAAAAGAAAAAAGGATCTCAGCAGAACAGCAAACCCCTATGTCTACCTCAATGTATAATTCTGTCAAATAAAAATAATTTAAGAATTCAAGAAATGGTTGTCCAGCCTGAAAAGTAATGTGAACCCAATATTTAAAGTGGATTGATTTTCTCTTTATAAAACATTCTACATTAAGATAAAGTAAAAGGTACCTTAGACTGGGAAGAGTGCCATAAAATGGGTTCAGCCCCCATCCCTTCCCAGTGTCCCCTGCTTTAAATCATGTTATAGATGAAAATTATATTATTTTGGAATTTACATTTTTATATATACCATATATATTCATTTTTAAAGAACACTTAATGTAACATTTTAATCTCTACAGCTATTCTTGCTTAGTGTGGCTAACTGCTGTTTAAAGTAGCAGTGATTACAAAACTGTAGCATTCCACTCAATGTTTTGTGATTCCGAGGATAAACCTTCCTTTCAAAGGATATTGGTGTGGGGGACCCAGATTTACATGCAGAATATCACGTAACTATTTTTTGCACAATGCCTCAATAAATTAATATTTCCTGTCCTAAATTCACATGGCTGACTCCAGATTAACTCTGGAATCGGGATTATTTCACTTCATCCTGTTCAACGCAGTGCTTCATGAAGTCCACATTTTAAATGCATTCTTATCACTGCTTATAATCTCAAAATAGCTTTCTGTAATCTCTAATAGGAAGTTAGTAAAAATTAGATCTTAGAGAATAAAGTATTTGTAAGCGGTGAGGTGTAACAATATAGTCCCACCTTCAGTTACACTACACACAGTTCAGGAAGCTTTCTTTATGTTACAGTGTTTATTGCATGAAGAACAACCTTAACCCTTCAATAAGGGGAAACTGGTGAAGGTGGCTAAATATAGCTGCTTTATTAGAATGGCTTTAAAACCTAAATACCATTTATTTTTAGCTGAAATATATAAATTTAGAATTAGATATAGAAGTTTTAGCTAAAACTATAAAAAGATAAAGAATTAAGAAAAAATTTGAGTGCTTCGACTATTCCAGTATAGTGTTCAACCTTCTGGGGATGAGGAACCTCTTTGAAATCTGATAAAGGTTAGAAAAATGGATGTATGCTTTCACACAAATTTCTTCACATAATTTTAGAATATTCATAGACCATCACTGCTACTGAGTGGTTCTCTTAAAACTCCCAAATTTTAATCTCAAAACAGACAATTCTCTGGTTGGGCATGGTGGCTCACACCTGTAATCCCAGCATTCTGGGAGACTGAGGCTGGTGGATCAATTGAGGTTAGGAGTTCCAGACCAGCCTGGCAAACATGGTGAAACTCCATCTCTACTAAAAATAGAAAAATTAGCTGGACGTGGTGGTGCACGCCTGTAATCTCAGCTACTTGGGAGGCTGAGGCACGAGAATCGCTTGAACCCAGGAGGTGGAGGTTGCGGTGAGCCATCGTGCCACTGCACTCCAGTCTGGGTGACAGAGCATGCAAGTGACTGTGTAAAGTGATATGTAAAGTCATGGAAAAAGGAAAGAGCCTTAACTAGTAACGGTCTGTGGAGGTAGAAGTCAAAGACATCCTTCTCCTGTCTGTCCCTGGATCTAAGGCAGATAAAAAGAAGGATAACTTAAAAAAAATTACAGATATCATTAAAGAAAAGCATATTTGTATATAACTTTTATAATTAAAAACAAATTTTAATGATCAAGAGGAGAAGTTATGAGGGCCTTGCTTCATGCAGTGTTAGCAAAAAAAAAAAAAAGAGCACTTTTATGTGAAAAGATGATAAAACTGGTAGGATCCACTTCAAAGCTAACATGTTGCCCATCAGAGGATGTGATCTCAATTCGTAATAAAGCATCCAGGAGTTTTTATAGATAGGTAGCACCATATACCTATAGAAATGCATGAGTAGGACTTCATTATGCCTGCTCCATACATTTTACCTTAAAAGAAGACAATCAGCTCTGCACATTCTGTACATAATCATTACTTGACATACCTCAGCACACACACACACAAAATGAATGATACAAACCTTGAAACAGAGTGTCATTATTTTACTGGCCAAACTGTTGCCTCAGAGGAGAGTCTGAATGGAGTCAGTCTGCCAATTCTACTTCTTTACAAAACATGTTCCAGAGCAGTTGGTAGAGTAAATGCCAAGAACCAAATAGAGTAACCAGAACTCAAGCCAGTTCATCCTGAGAACAAAACAAAATCAGGTTAGTGCATTTTTGTTCTCAGGTAGATAGCTGAAGAGTGGCAAAAACATAAACCCAAAGTTGACAACTACTTGCTAAATTAAGGCAAAGGTGACTGATTAATATTTCTCCTGAGATTTATCTGCGTATATTGTTTATGATAGATGACTATATACGATGTCTACGATAGCTGTTAATTCCAAGGATTAACCGGTGAAAGCTATTAAGAGAGGCCTAGGCTTTACCAGGAGACAAAATCTCCAAGATTCAGTTCAAATTACATCACAAAATGAAAGAGAACAGAAACAGAAGATGACAGCAAATACTTTAGTTTGATTTGTACAAGCATTTGCACAGAGCAGAAATAAGACTGATGATCAGAAGAGTTCTACTCTCTTCTCATACAGTCAGGGGAACTCAGTGAATGCTGAACATAGACTAGGTAGAGACATGACAAAAACAGAAAGACTATAGGATTTTTGAGAAATCAGGAAGAAAAGGAACTGGGCGTTCAGAACCCAGAGATCAGCCAGATTTACATACAAAGCAAGGGGGACAGGGATGAGGGCTGAAATTCCAATTACCTAAATGACATCCTTGTAACTCCCTGTAGTAAAGCAGTTTGGGGTACACTCAAGAAAAATGATCTACTGGTAAATCACTGTTTAATCACAAGAAGAAATTTATAGAGAATAGGGGTAGCCATAAAAAGATGCCTCAATCCTCAAGCAGTAACAACAACGGCCAGGATCATGGCCCATAGCTCTCTAATTCTTGCCTGGTCCCAGGATTACAATAATGTGATAGGTGAGATCTGGCCTAATAGAAAATTCCTTCTCAAAGTCATTTAATATAAAACTCAACAACAAATTAAAGCTACTTGAATTTAACTGATTCTTTATTTAAAAAATTACTGAGTATTTTCAGTGCTAATCATAGGTAGATCCTAATAAGATAATTCACAATAGTCATTTTCAAAACATTTGAACGTTTGTGAAGTAATTTTAGGCTTTAGGAAGATTTCAATGATTTGGCGCTGTTGCTAACCAATCAGTATAAAATTTCAGTTATACAAAGTAAGTTCTAGAGATCTGTGGTGCAGCATTCTGCCTACAGATAGCAATACTGTATTCTACACTTAAAAATATGTTAGAGGGTAGATCTCATGCTAGGCGTTCTCACCAAAATAAAATACCAGAGGAGAAGCATTTCAGGTGGTAGCAGCAGCAAGGGTGCTTAAGGCAGAAACAAGTCTAACAAGGAGGGACAGAAAGGTAGCTGGTGTGGCTTTGGTGAACAAGAAGGAAAATGGCATAAGATGATGTTAGAGATGAGGCAGGGCCCAAATCAGGTGGAGCCTTGTAGGACAGGATAAGGAGTTTGAATTTTACTTTAAGTACAGGTGTAACAAATATCCTACAGCTTTAAGCAGAAACAAATCTACAATGACAGATTACCTTATTAGTTATACTTTACTATAAGTGAAACCATTTTTGGTACACTAAAAAGGAAATAGCCTTTTAACACTGGAAAGGAACCACCACCCTTCTCAACGTTTTCACATGTATTAGGAATGATGTGATTTGAGGAAAATTTTTCATTAAATTAAGAGAGAGACCTAATAGCCATATGATGTTTTCAGTGTTTAAAACAAACAATATCATAATATCAAATGCAAATACAGTGCTTACATTTTTAAAAGTTGTGTAAGATATTATGGGGAAAAGAACAGCAAACTGGAGGTAGTAAACAGGCACAAATCGTGGATTCCAATTCCAGCGTTGCAACAACTGACTGAAATTAGGTTTAACTTAATTACCTTCTCAAATATATGAAGACAGCGGAGTAGATCAGTGATTTTTAATCAGTGTTTAAATGGAATTTTTCAGTGGGATGAAATGATATAGGACACTATTCAGGTCTAGCAGTGCCAACCACTTCCCTACAGCTGAAAAGTCACCTAACTAAACATCTAAGATTTCTTCTGGCTCTAAAATTTTATCAATTCATTCAACAAACATTTATTGAACAAATATGTTCTGAAGGATTTGCTATGTGCCAGGCACTTTTCTTCCCCACTTACTCTATGCACTTACCCACTGAGAACAAGGAACCACACTGGCCAGAGCCATCGCTATAGGGAGCTCTCCTTGATCACCCATCACTGTGACCAGTTCCACCAATTGCTCAAACCCATCAGCCAATACCGTTTCTGAAGTGTGTCAAATTCTGTGCCTTGTTGAGGGATTTTCATCAGAACTTCCATAAATGTAGCTGTCTGGAGATCCTTGTAGTACCCTAAACCTGATGTGGACAAATGGATGCAAATTTACTAACATGGCCTTACTGAAGTAATTTTTGCTTATCTTACAAGCCAGTTCTCTAGGCTGTGTATTTCTATATGAAACTTTCATTTGATCTCACCTATGGAGTGCATGAGACCACCGTCTATGCTGGCACTGAGTAAGTTTGACATTGCAAGGACTGCACAGTGCCTCCGTGATGCCAACCTCCGAGACATGCCACGTTTCCTGCCACCTGTTTGTGCACTTTCATCTTCAGCTTCACTGCAGTCACTCAAAAGGTTCATAAATAGTGTGAAGTATCTGAGAAATAAAAAGACTGACCTTTACATAGCAAAGGCCGTATCAACTAGAAAGCTAACCAGACATTCCAAAACTATCACATGTGCACGGTGTGACTGGCCCTGGATTAACTGCTTCTCTCCTCTCTCAGGATAATCAGCCAGGGTGACTCATTATGAAGCATGCTGTGTTGGGCATGATTATACCTGATATAGCCTAGCATACCTTTCATAACATAAGCATCAAATAGATGCAATGTTTCCTGGTAAATGTGTCATTTTTAATGTTTAGTATATAAAATTAGTGGTCCAAACAGCTTACACAATGTCACTTTTGTAAATGACTTAGTGAAGCAATCTGGGTTTTATTATAAGCAAAATTTCAGGGATCATATTATTTTCTTTAAAAATCATAAAACACAGTTATTTTCCTAATCCTAGTCCTGCATGGGGAACATTTCTTTGTTTTCTTTTTTGTTTTTTTGTTTTTGTTTTGTTTTGTCTTTGAGTGTGTGTGTGTGTGTGTGTGTGTGTGTGTGTGTGTGTGTGTGGCGGCGGGGGGCTTTATTTGCTTTTGCTTTGTGTTTTTTGGTGACTGAAATTTACTTAAGAAATAACTGTGTCCCCTTTGGCTTCCATCAATTCCACACCATCTCCTTCCTCAGGCTGCACAGGGAGACCAGCTAGAAGTGAAACTACTGCTTCCATGCTTGCCTGGTCCAAATCTCTGAAAAAAAAAAAATTAGAGACCATAAATCTTTCAGGTTATTTCACTTCCTCTCAAATAAACCTCTTATTAACAGATATAAACTTTAGGAACTACCTGTTTCATTAAACAAATTATTAGCACAACCCAAATAATTTGAATTAATATGCAGATCCTAGAATACAAAATCATCTCAAATGAGGAGAAGACAATAGTAACTTTCTACAAAGTAATCTTGGCAAAATGACTATCTTCAATCAGAAGCATGTACAATTGGCCCTCTGTCTCAGCGAGTTCTGTATCCACGGATTCAACCAACCATGGATTGAAACTATTTGGGGGAAAAAAAAGTAGGGTTTCATCTGTACTCAACATGTAAAGATTTTTCTTTGTCGTTATTCCCTAAACAATATGGTATAACAACTTGTGTTTATATAAGATTTATATTTATTAGATATTATAAGTAATCTAATGATAATTTAAAATATATGGGAGGATGTGCATAGTTTATATGCAAATACTATGACATTTTGTATCAGGGACTTCAGTCTGTGGATTTTAGTGTTCATGGAAGTGAGATGTGGGCAGGAGTTTGGGGGGTGGTTCCTGGAACCAATTCCTGACAGATACTGAGAGACGACCATATTATAAAGCTAGGCTTGGTCAAAGAAACATATGTAAAGGCTTATTATACAGTCCATAGTGTTTAATCACTTTCTGATATGTGTCAATAAGCATTTATCATTAAAGCAGACTTAATTACACTTAATTACTTCCTTTTTTTTCTGTCTCTGGTGCCTGAATCAGGAAATCAATTATTTTTTAGAAAGACCAACACAATGAGTTCCTCAAATAATACCTTTTTCTATCTAATCATAACATAAATGCAATCTGAGGCTTTATGTACCTTATTTCCCAATAACGGTAGACTATTCTTCATAAACTGACAACACTAACTTCCCAAACATACCGCTCTCGCACATTTATTTTTACAGAAAGTCTATCAGTCAAAAAAAAGTAGTAATAAAGATTAGTATCTTTACATATTTCAACCACAAAAGTTTGACATCTAAAAAATTTAAATACACATAAAATACAAGTATAAAGCTGTAATGAAGTAATTATAATTCTTACAGGAAAACCCACTAATACTTGAAGGTCATTCTCTTTTTTACCTTGTAATACATTTTACATCATCATCTGCTGCTTGGTTTGATGTTCCCATAACCCAGACTGTCAGGTATTCTACAATCTTATTCCTAAAGAATGGCGGAGAAAAGAGAAACAGCCAACAATTTTTTTGAAGCCACACACACACACACACCTTTAATTGTGTAAGATTTCTTACAGTGCAAATAATTTGGCAGATAACCCAGGTGACATGACGACTTTATAAAAGAGATACTGATGTCACAGACGTAAAAGCCAGAAGGGAACAAGCAACGTGGATATTTAACCTCCAACATGGCCCTTATTTATGGTATCAAATTGGAAACAGAATCAAATTCTTAGCTCAAGTACAGCACAGTTTTAGAAAAATGGAGGCTTGCCACAGGCACAAAGCTTACGGAAATTTGAGGAGAGACGTAGAGAAACACAAACGTGTAAATTGCTCTCTTTTTATGTCTTCCTTCCTACCAATAACCAGATATCTACTCTATTTCTGTACTTCATTCAACAAATTAAGATTTACAAGACCCTACATTGCTCTTTTGAGAACTCACCTAAATTTCATCTCTTGGCAAAATAAGAGGTCATCTCTCCTTGCCATCGTTACTTCAACCAACTGACACAGTTTCGTTTTTATTTGAATTGCATGGACCATATTCCCAAGCACACGAACATACCTATACAGACACAGAGACGATAAAAAAATTATCAGATATAGACAAAAGAGAAAGCATTCAAAGTACTTTAGTCATCAAATAAAATGAACTACATGTAAGTCTGAAAACAATATTTATTTTTATGAGAACATACACACCTTCTGGTTACCTGACTGTCACACCCTAGTTTGTGTGCAGTAAAGAATGGCAAATTATTTTATCAATTACTACCAATATCAATGTGTAAGAGGTTTTTCTGATCTCTTAAAGTATGTTTCTGCTACATTTCAGTAGAACGCTTACCTGACCAGATATAACATCATTGGTTCAATGCTAGCTTGCCCTAGATGTTCAGAGCTGCCTTCAGTATGATTATCTAGCAAGTTCTTCATTATAGCTATGGTTTGCTCTACAAATTGAGTGTTGGTATCCGTCAATAAAACCTATAGAAAGAACAAATATATTAATCATTTGCCATCAATGCCCAGAAGACAGACCTCTAGAGAGATGCAACCGACTGATCTAAACACACAAACACAGAAGTGCACCCACAGGCACACAGCCAAACAAGCATACAGATACATGCAGACACTCATACCCATACACAAGGCAGGTATACCCTCAGGCACACATACACACCAGAGTTCCTAAGAAGCAAGCTGACCCCTACATTGAGATGACTCTTCTTTCTGCAATTTTTTGGCAATTTTTAAAAACTGTGAGCACCTAATTTAAATAATTGGAAAGAAAAAGCCTTCCTTATTTCAAACAAGGTGAAAAATAAAAAAGAGCACACTTTACCTGTCCTTGGGAGTCAAAAAACTTGCTGATGGCATTCTTCAGTTTGTTAAATAGCATCAGATAAAGAGCAGGACTCAATTCTAGACCCACCAGTTCCTTAACATTGGCCTGTATTTGAAGTCCCACTTTCTCATGGTTACACACCATTAAGGACAACAGCTGATCCATACATTTGCTGACAGGTGTACCTGCGTTTCCCTCTGAGGACATCACTGAAATCATGGAACCCTGACATTCACTGACTGGACCCATGGGTGGGCTATAGGTTGCCAGGCCAGAATTACTTCTCTGCTGGAGGCACACTCCCCCAAGGGCACAAAGGAAGCCAGTCATGTTGATCCATTCCTGTAGGGAGTCTGTGTCAGACAAATCTGCGCATCCTCCTCCACTCAGATGGGACATTCGACTCCTAACAATGGTCATGTGAAACTTTCAGCAGCCTAAACACAAAATTTTTGGGCAAAGCATGAATTAAACCTAAATTAGTTGAGACTTGACAAATTACTCTTTATCCAACATTTCTTCCATGACAAAAGTACAAAAAATGTAAAAAACACATTAAAATCAACCCCAAAAATTACCATATACATTTTTAAAGAGCCACTGATTTATTTTTGTCATACACTAATATAATCGCCCAAGTATCAAATTTCTTTTAAAAAGCTTTGATTTCACATGGATGAACCTTGGAAACGTTATGCTAAGTGAAAGAAGCTAATCACAAAAGCCCACATATTCTAAAATTCCATTTACAGAAAAGATCCAGCAGAGACAAATCTGCAGAGACAGAAAGTAGATTCAAGGTTGCCTAGGGCTGGAGAAGCCGGGGGAAGAGAGACAAGAAAGTGGCGGGGAGGTGGGGTAGGGTGTTAGAGGCAGAAATAGCTAAAGGATACAGGGGTTTTTTTCCTCAATTGATGAAATTGTTCTAAAACGGACTGTGGTAATGGTTGCACAACTCTGGGAATATACTAAAAACAGCCACTGAATTGGACACTTTAAATGGGTGAATTGTATGGTATATTAAACAGTTATCCCCCCAAAAGCTTTCATTCTAAAGCTACATGTCCCCTCCAAATAAAGCTATTAGGTACACAATTTTGCTTCATAAAAACATAACATTTTTCTTATTGTAATTAAGTATGACAGAAAAAAACATGGGGGAATAACCAGTTTATATAAATTGCCTAATAATGGGAGGAATATGAACATTACAAATCAATTACACACAAACACCAACTCATCAATTTCCAGAGTAACAGATAATATAGTCAATAGTAATAGTTGAATGAACTGTCCACATTTTAAAATCTCATTTAATCTATGGGTTCAATCTTTTGCCCAAGACATTCCTTAATTAGAATACTTAACAAAATAGCAAAATGAATTGTTTCCATGTTTTTTTTCTCTACCTCTGTTGCTCCTTTTCTGAAAATTCTGTGAAACACCCTGATGAAGGGATAAAGAGCAAGAAAAGATAAATGGTCTCTGCAACAGTCTCTAGCAGTGCTGCCCAGTATTTCTGTGATGATGGAAACATTTTCTCTCTCTGCTGTCCAGACTGTCATATGTGGCTACTGGGTACTTGCAATGTGGCTACTATATGATTGAGGAACTAAATTGTATTTAATTTTCATTATGTTAAAATTTAAATAGTCACACGTAGCTAGTGGCTACCATATTACGAAGTACAGGTCTAGATAAACCACAACTAAATATCAGTCTTCAGACAACTATATGCTTACTTTACTGAGTGACTCGTGAGAGATTACCAAAGAGAAGGACATATATTTAGCAGATCAGTTAATAGACAAAAGTCAACTTTACAGACTTACCTGGCTGTCATCCATTTTGGCTTTTGGATAGTTAAAGATTAGTTTTGTTGCTTGTTCCCATTTTGCATGTGTATCTTCCCAAGCCTAAAATGAAGGCAATTATCACTTGAAAGCAACTTTAAGTCTAGAGCTAAACGTCAACCAGCAATGGCCAAGTTTCAAACTTGATGTATAATAAGTACTCAGATATTACACTTCTAACACGCACATATCTTGGATTTACTTCAAAAGCTATTCCTGATTACACATATGTAACAATAGGTTTCCAAAATTGAGGGTGGGCGCCTAGGAGGGGTGTTTCTCTTGCTAAGAGCACACCTCAGTGTTTCCTGCAGTGGGATGCTAAGTGCGCCTCCGCAGTGCCATCACTCTTTCTGAAGTGCTGCTGTTCCTAAGCAAATACAACAGCCAATCAAGTCACTGCACTTAGAGCCCTGCCTGCCCATGGAGAACCTCATAAGCCCTACCCAAAAGGCAGAGTAGGAGGAGCAGAGCAAATGCCTCAAATGATAAAGCCAAAAACTTCCTTTCACTAACCTCACAGGAAAGGTACTTATCTTAAACTCTACAATGTCCACAGCACAAAATAGCTATTCCCACCTATAATTTACTCAAAACATATGCCAATGTGCATAAAACTTCACTATCTACAACTTAGGTGGGGTAAATTATATGATCACAACTGATAGTAACATATACTGCCAGTTATTTTTAAAACATATAGCATATTAAAAACTCACTGGGAGACTATTTCAAATGCTTTTTCTTTTCATCTTTGTTTCATTTCTTTGTTCAGAAAAGGATTTCAAGTAAGCTACTTGAATCTCCCCTGTAAACTTACAAAGTAGTAACCTTAAATACATTCTCACAATTAGATGCCACGTGCTTCAGGCAGGTTGAGTAAAAAAACCACTATTCACATTTACCTGTTGACATCACATTGCTGACAGAGGCAAACTCCATGAATGTGCTACAGTTGGGCAAGAGGTGATGCACTGACACTTCATCCACCCCACACCAGGTATCTGCTTCCTCACAGAGGTGGCGGAAACAGGACATGGCAACCAGAACAGCTTCACTGTCAGGGTTCCACAGAAACATGTACAGCGCCACACTTCTAGTTTGGTCTGCCCTTGTTGGCAAATCGGGGAGGGGGGGCGGGGGCGGTTGCGCTTCATCCTGCTGCACTATCCTGAGAGTCAAAGTTGTAAGACATATATTTGCAACTTGGGTAATTTTATGTATAAAACCCAACAATGCAATAAACTGCGTGTGTGTGTGTGTGTGTGTGTGTGTGTGTCTCAGCATACAATAACTCACAAGAGTTTTCTCCTTTAATCATCACAGGAATTTTTCAAACCCTCAAATATCTTGTCCAAATGAGAAATGAGATTATCTGGACCAACATAAAGCTACTCTCTGTCCAATTTCAAATCAAATAGGTATTATCCTATTCCAGATTCCAGAAACATAAACTGATTCTAACATAAACAGGTAAAACACTGTAACATAAATCTGCTGCAGTAATGATATAATGTACTTACCAGTCAATTAGAAATGACAAAAAAAGAAGTAGGCTGGGCATGGTGGCTCATGCCTGTAATCCTAGCACTTTGGGAGGCCGAGGTGGGCGGATCACGAGGTTGGGAGATCGAGACCATCCTGGGCTAACATGGTGAAACCCCGTCTCTACTAAAAACATAAAAAAACAATTAGCCGGCCGTGGTGGCGGGCACCTGTAGTCCCAGTTACTCAGGAGAGGCTGAGTCAGGAGAATGGTGTGAACCTGGGAGGCGGAACTTGCAGTGAGCGGAGATCGTGCCACTGCACTCCAGCCTGGGCGACAGAGTAAGACTCTGTCTCAAAAAAAAAAAAAAAAAAAAAAGAAAGCCTAGGTTTTAAAGACCAATAAAATAGTAAACGTGAACGAGGAAAAAAAGAAATGAGGAAACAGTTACAAACATAGATACTGAAGGTAATTATATGATAATATAGAAATAAAATACAGCCTTTAATTGTACAAGTAAAATATATAAATATTATATACAACTCTGCACTGATAAAATTGAAAAACATGTTTTGTAGGAAAGAACAAACCATGAAAAGTGACTTTAAAAATAATAGAAATTCTTCAAAAAATTAAAAATAGAATAACCATATGATCCAGCAATTCCGCTTCTGGATGTATATTCGGAAGAATGAAAGCAGGGCCTTGAAGTTACTGGCACACCCATGTTCATAGTAGCATTATTTATAATAGTCAAAAGGTGGAAACAACCGAAAAATCCATTGACAGATACATTTAGATCAACAAAATGTTGGTATATACATACGATATCATTCAGCTTTCAAGAGGAAGGAAATCCTGACATGCTACAACAAGATGAACACTATTTCAGCCATAAAGAATGAAATCCTGCCTTTCAAGGCAACATGAATGGAACTGGAGGACATTATGCTAAGTAAAATAAGCCCATGTCAAAAAGACAAATACTGTATGATTCCACTTATGTGACATAGTGAAATTCAGAGAGACAGAAAGTAGAAGGATGGTTGCAGGAATTGCAGGTAGGAAAGAATGGAGAGCAGTTGAATAGACACAGAATTTGTTTTGCACGATGAAAAGGTTTTGGAGATTGGTTGCACAACAATGTGAAAGATAGTGCTACTAAACTGTGTACTTAAAAATGGCTAAGATGGTAAATTTTATGTTATATGTATTCTACCGCATAAAAAATTTTAAAGAGAGACAGAAAAACTACATAGATCCATAAGGCAGCTCAAATAAAAGGATTAAAGAGTTATTTTAAGTAGACAATAGATAAGCTAGTTCTAGAAACAGCATAAGAAACCAGTAGCAGTACTTGACTTAGGAAGAAAAGTATAAACTGAAGGTCAAGAGGGAGTAGGAAGCTTACTTTTCCACTGAATTCCCTTCCTGATGTATAGTGAAAATTTCCATTATGTCAATTTATTTTTTTCTTTAAAACTAATAAGCAAAAGTCAAAGGAAATCTTAAGAGCTTCTAAACTTGATGATTTTACAATGAATTTCTATCTAATCAGATAATTTCTATTACTTAAATTATTCCAGACCATAGAAAAGAGTAATAGTTCCCAAATTCATATTCTAATTTAGCACAAATAAGTGTTAGAATAACTACTTTCAAAAGTGATAATGCATATTTTGTTAAATATACACATGTTCTAAGAATCAGAAAGCTGAAACACTGGAAGGAAATGTTTCATTAAGTAGCTACCCAGTACATTTGCCAATAGCCAACCAAATTTACCTCACGCACACACACAAATCAACATACTAAAAGTAAGGATTTCCAAACATATTTCCACTCCAAATTTAAAGTGAAAGTTTAAATAACATATAAACCATCTGACTGGATACAATTCAGCCCTAAAGCTAGAGTTCAGGGCCCCTTATCTTTTGTTCATTATTAATTTTAAAATTTTTGATGTATTTATTAGTATTTATGAATAACATAGTAACATTCCCATAGATTTGCAGAGATCAAATCGAGGTAATTAGCATATCCATAATCTCATTTATCATTTCTTTGTGCTGGGAACATTCAACATCCTCCTCCTAACTCTTTGAAACTGTGTAACATATTGTTGTTAATTACAGTCATCTTACAGTGCTATACAACACTAGAACTTGCTCTTCCTATCTAGCTGTAATTTTGAAACCTTTAACAAATTGCTTTCTACCATCCCTGCACCCTATGCTTCCCAGCCTGTAGTATTCTGTTCTACTTTTTACCTCTATGAGATCAACGTTTTTTTAGCTTCCACAAATGAATGAGAACACACAGTACTTAATGTTCTGTCCCTGGCTTACTTCACTTAATATGATGTCCTCCAGTTCAATCCATGTGCCTCAGACTACAGGATTTCATTCTTGCTTATGGCTAAATAGTATTCCATTGTGTATGTATACCATATTTTCTTTATGCATTCATCTGTTGTTAGATACTTAGGATGATTCCATATCTTGGCTATTGTGAATAGTGCTGCAATAAACACGGGGGTGCCGATGTCTCGTCAATATACTGATTTCCTTTTCTTTGGATAAATGTCCAATAATATATTGTTGGACCATATAATAGTTCTATTTGCAGTTTTTTGAGGAACCTCCACACTGTTCTCCATGGTGGCTGTACTAGTTTACATTTCCACTAGCCCCATTTAAGTGTTCACTTTTCTCCACATCTTTGCCAGCATTTGCTATTTTTTGTCTTTTTGATAGTAGCCATTCTAAGTGGGGTGAGATGACACCTCATTGTGGTTTTGATTTGCATTTCCCTGATGACTAGTGATGTTGAGCTTTTTAGGAAAACATATTTGTTGGTCATGTGTCTGTCATCTTTTAAGAAATATCTATTCAGGTCATTTGCCCATTTTTCAGTTGGATTCTTTTTTTTTTTTTTTTTTGCTATTGAGATGTCAAGAGTTCCTTGTATATTCTGGATATTAATCCTCTGCTGGATACATACTTTGCAAATATTTTCTCCCATTCTGTAGGTTGTCTTTTCACTCTGCCAATTTCTTCCTTTGAATTAATATTAATTTTTTAAAGAAAAGTAACTTAAACGCTTGACAATATGGAATTAAAAATACAGTATCTTCAAGCTGGGTGCGGTGGTGCATGCTTATAGCTGCAGCTATCTGAAGGCTGAGGCAGAAGAGGATCGCGTAAGTCCAGAAGTTTGAGACCAGCCTGGGCAACATAACAGCAAGACTCAGTCTCTTTTTAAAAAATGGTATATTCAATTTGGGGAACATACTACAAATCCTCAAAAAACGGGTACAGAAGAAACATACTGCAACACAATAAAAACCACATGAGAGACCCCCACAGCTAGAATCATATGGAATGGGGAAAAATGGAAAGCTTTTCCTCTAAGATCTGGAACATGATAAGGATGCCCACTGTCACCACTGTTATTTAACATAGTACTGGAAACCCTAGCTAAAGCAATCAGTGCAGCCCCTGATATGGCCCCCAACCCACCCTGCCCCCTGCCACCAGCAGTGTAGCCCCCCCGCAATAGCGCACCCAACACACCCAAACCGCCCCGCCTCCCCGAACCACGGGCATTGCAGCACCCCATAGCACCCTCAACCTGAAACCACCACCCCCCCGCAACAGCCGTGCAGTGCAGCCCTGGATAGGACACTTAGCCCACCTCACTGTTGCCAGCAATACAGTCTGGGATAGTTTCCCCAACAGGCTCCCCGCCGAGGGCAGTGCAGCCCCGGTTAGGGCCCCCAAACCACCCCTGGGTGCAGGCAGCACAGCCCCAGATAGCACACCTAACCAGCCACCCAAGGTGGGCAGTGACGCCTGAGATAGGGCCCCCAACCCGTCCCAGGCCAAGGGCAGTGCAGCCCTGGATAGCGCACTTACCCCGACGCTTTTCTACACTCTGGCCGGTTGCAGTGTCCATCGCTGCCACCAACCGCAGCGGGCAAGGCAAGCCAGCGAGGCAAGGCGAGGCAAGCCGGCGAGGTGGTGAGCCAGGGAGGCCAGCCACAGCCCGGTAGGCTGCAGCCTCCAGCATGCAGTGGCTGGCACCTCCTACTCCAAGCTGGCAATGGAGCAGCTATGAAGTCAGATGCCGACGAGGCTGGAATAGTGCAACTCTATCTCTTAACATGCTTTATATACCGAGATTATAAACTACATGTTCTGATTGGATGAGAGGAAAACACTAGGCCTACTCTGATTGGACTTTATTGTCACGTTCTGATTGGTTAGCCTAAGACTTGTTCTGATCCAATCAGAACATGAAAATAACGTCCAATCAGAGTAGGCGTAGATGTTTCTCTCATCCAATCAGAACGTGAAGTCCGAGAACCAGGCCTGCACAACCCCCCAGTATATAAGGTATGCTAAGGGGGCGTCGCGCTGTTGCAGGCTATCGTGTGTTAACCTGTACTTCTGCCGCAGAGTTTGGAGAAAGCGGCAGCAGATTGTGCTGCCGCAGGCTGGAGCCTGGAACCTGGAGCCCTGGAGCCTTGAATGGTGTGTGGTGGCAATGGAGAGAGGCAGCTGGCAGTGACAGCTGCTCCGTGCTTGGCTACAGGAAGGAAAGAAGGAGAAAGCACCTACCATAGGCTGGAGGCTAGAGCCTGCAGGACTGCGGCTGGCCTCGCTGGCTCGCCTCCCTGGCTGGCCTCGCTGTGGTTGGTGGCAGCGACGGATACTGCAGCTGGCCAGAGTGTAGAAAGGCAATGGGGTAGGTAAGCTATCCAGGGCTGCCCGCGGCGGGGGCTGGTTGGGGTATTATTCCAGGTGTCACTGCTTTGGGTGTACTAGAGTGTTATTTTGGGCGTCACTGCTTTTAGGTGTGCTATCCGGGGCTGCACTGCCCTCAGCAGCGGGTGGGGGGGGGTTGGTGGGGGGCGGGTTGGGGTCACTATCTTGGGCTGTATTGATGGCAGCAGTAGGGCTGGTTGGGGGTGCTATTGGGTGCTGCACTGCCCGCGACAGGGGCCGGGTTGGGGCTGCTATTGTGGTTGCACTGCCGGCGGCATGGTGGTGGGAGGGCTGGTTAGGGTGCGGACTGGTGGGGGTGCTTACTGGTCGGGCTTCATTGCCGACAGCGGGGTGGGGATGCTATCTGGGGCTGCACTGCCCATGGTGGGGGCTTGTTGGGGGCGCTATGTGGGGTTGCAATGTCCATGGCAGGGGAGAGGTTAGAGGCAGTATCAGATGCTACACTGCTGGTGGTGGGGCGGGGCAGCGGTGGGTGCGGGTAGGTGCTTGGAGGGTGCGGTTTCGGGCGCTATCGGGCCAGACTGCCCATGATAGAGGGCAGGTTTGGGTGCGCTACTAGGGGATACACTCCTCACAGCAAGGGGCGGTTTGGGGGTGATACCCGGCCGGTGGCAGGCGGGGTGGTGGGGTGGGTTGTGGGCACCGTTCGGGGGCTGCACTGTGGTCAGTGGCGGTGGGGCGAGTTAGGTGCTCTATCAGCTGCTGCACTGTTTGTGGTGGGGGCTGGGTTTGGTGTGCTATCGGGGACCATATTTTTGGCAGCGGTATACAGGTTAGGGGTGCTGTCGGAGGCTGCACTGCCCATGGCGGGGTGCGGGTGGGGTGCACTATCCAGGGCATCATTCCCCCTGGGTGGGGGACAGTTGGGGGTGCTATCTGCTATGTAGGGCTGCACTGCTCGTCGTGGGGAGGGGGTTGGGGACCTTAAGGATCCATGGCTGCACTATTGACGGCATGGAGCAGGTGGCCGTGCTCTCCGGGGCATCACTGCCCGCAGCCGGGGGTTAGCTGGAGGTCCTATCCGTGGCTGCATGGCCGACGGCAGACGGTAGGATGGGGGAGTTATCTGGTGCTGCGACGTCCGAGGCAGGGATGGGTTGGGGGCGCTATTGGGTTTTACATTGCAGCGGCGAGGGGCGGTGTTGGGGGCGCTATCCCAGAGCCAACATCAGGCAGCGGATTAGGGGCGCCATCAGGGGCTGCCTTGCTGGTGGCGGCAGAGCTTGCAGCAACAGGGTCTCCAAGGAAGGAGCCTTCTTCCTCTTTCTGGATTTCAGACTCTAAAAGGCGATCTCCTCCTGCTCCTGCTAGAGCGCAGCGAGCGCACGGCGTTTCCGCAGTAATCCTGAGCACGGCAAGGACCCCTTACCCGCCGGGGTTCCCGGGGCCATGCCCTTTTCGCTCTGTGTTGCGGAGACCACCTGGCACCCCTAGGCACGCTGGACACGGAGTGGCGGGGACACCACGGGGAGACAGGGCTCTGTGGGTGGAGGCATTGGGATGGGGAACCGGCATTTGGGTGGGAGGGCTGGCTGTGTCTGAGTTCCTGCTGATTTTGTTCCCCAAGGAGCGCAGTCCTGGTGGGCCCAGCGGTTCCTGTGGATTGGAGCCAGGCAGTGTGATGTTACCAGTCACCACTCCAGGTCCCAGTTCCTGGCCCGCTTGAGCCAAAAGGAGAGGCTGGACTTTGGAGGGTGGATATGAGTGCCTTCACTGAGACTGGCCCCTGCCACCCAGTGGCCAGGATGACAAGGTGAGGCTCTAACGCTATCAGTCTCTGCATTCTCCTCTAGGCTTTTTTGGCTGTGTGTGTCCAGCTGTTCCATGCCAGGAGGAGGAGGAGTTACATGCTGGAAGCTTGCAGATAGCCTGGGGCTGCTGCTCGCCTTGCTGCGGTTGGTGGCAGCTACCGAGACTACCTCGCACCAGAGCGGTAGGAGGACGGCCAGCTGTGGCCATGGCAGGGGCAGGGCTGCGGCGGTGGCCAGGTAGTAGGAGCTTTGTAGGGTGGGCCAGTGCATTGAGGGCAACAGCAGCGATGGTTATAGTGACATCTGCGCTAGTTGTGGCAGCAGCCGCAAGTCCAGGGGCCGGGAAGAGGGAGTAGGAGCGCTGCGGGGCCTGCCCGGCCAGGCCTAGGGTGGGTAGGAAGCTTCGGGTGCTGTACCACAGGCCTCGGTGGAAGTGGTGGAGGAACAGCCAGGGCAAGGAGGAGTTCTCCCCCTTCTCCTGCAGTCTCTGGAGGGCGACCTCCTCCTACTGGCGCATGAGCCCGGTGTGAGTGTCAGCATATTATCTCACTCTTTCTTCCAATATAATACAGTCATGCACTACATAACAAGGTTTCACCAGTGATGGCCTGCATGTATCAGGGTAGTTCTATAAAATTATAATGAAACTGAAAAATCCTCATTGTCTACTGACAGCATAGCCGTCTTAACCTTGTAATACAACGCAATACTCACGTGTTTGTAGTGATGATGGCGTAAACAAACCTACTGAGCTCCTGGTTCTATGAAAGTATAGCGCATATAGGCCAGGCGTGGTGATTCACACCTGTAATCCCAGCACTTCGGGGGGCCAAGGCGGGCAGATCACGAGGTCAGGAGATCGACACCATCCTGGCTAACACGGTGAAACCCCGTTTCTACTAAAAATAGAAAAAATTAGCTAGGGGTGGTGGCAGGCCCCTGTAGTCCCAGCTACTCGGGAGGCTGAGGCAGGAGAATGGGGTGAACCCGGAAGGTGGAGCTTGCAGTGAGCCGAGATCGCGCCACTGCACTCGAGACTTGGCGACAGAGCGAGACTCTGTCTCAAAAAAAAAAAAAAGTATAGCACATTTAAGTATACATAGTACATAAAAGTTGATAATGAACAACTATGTTACTGGTTTATGTGTTTAGTATACTATGATTTTTGACATTATTTTAGAATGCATTCCTTCTACTTACAAACAAAAAAGTTAACTAAAATAGCCTGAGGCAGGTCCTTCAGGAGCTATTTCAGAAGAAGGCATTGTTACCATGGGAGATGACAGCTCCATGTGTGGTATTGCTTCGGAAGACCTTCCAGTGGGAGGAGATGTGGAGATGGAAGACTGATGTTGATGATCCTGACCCAGTGTAGGCCTAGGCTAGTGTGTGTGTATTTGTGTGTTAGCTTTTACCAAAACGAAGTTTAAGAAATCTGTATGCTTATTTTTTGTTCTGAATACTTACCAAGATACAACTTACAGAGAGGAAGCATCGAGGCACCTGAGTGTATCTTTTTAACGCTGACATTATCATTGAGAAAAAAATTAAAACACAGAAAAAGCTATTTTTCTTAAGAAAAAGTTTGAGTGTTTTTAACAAATCTATGAATTGATTTGCAATTTCATGGTATCTTTATTGGTAATGTACCTTCAACAATGCAATCATGTGCACATACTTTACTGAGGAGGCACTTAACACAGGCTGAATCACCTATAGATATATTCAACTGATTACCTGTGCCTGTGAGAATACACGAGGTAAACTCTAATGATGTATCAATAAGTAGAAAGCTATGAAGCAAATTGAGACAATTATCTAAATCATCCTGTCAGAAATTCCCTTTTTATCTGGACTACTAGGCCAATAAAATATCATTAATTTCTGGAACCTGTGAAGTTTGCCTCTGTTCAGTTAATTAGGGAAATGAGTCTCTAAACAAATAAATAATGTAAACCAGCAGATTGTGGTCTCCACAAGAGTCAAAGGCAAATAACTGCTCTCAACCATTTGTAAATCCAGTCAAGGAAAAATAGTTTTGTCATAACGAAGAATATTTTATTATAAAATTTGTTATATGATATTGATTATATAAAATATTTTAACATCACGTTAAATTAATATGTTAAGGGAAATTAGATTTTGAAATGTTTTATTCTCATTGCTCTATCTTAACTGTATCTATTTGAATGTTCTAGTAGCATGTAGAATCTAATAAAATATCAACTATATAGGGACCTGAAAATACATTGTAGCTATTACTTATCTTTGCGTTTTCAATGTCAGAAAGTTCATTGTCATAGGTAATCTAGTAAGCAAAAGTTAATAATTTTTCTGAATTTAATTAATTTAAATAATTGTATCATGTGCATTAACCAGTTCATGTAATCCAAGTTAAATTTTACATGCCCTATGGCAAGAAGTTCTAAATCCCTAATGTACATCTCTAAAAGACCTGATTTCTTTCCCCAGACTTATCTCATCTTTTTATCTATCCATCTCTTTCTTCCACTAACAAAAAATTCTATCTCAATAGTTGTAAATCAGTTGTATCACTAGTCCCATTCCATCTATGAGAAAACTCCAGTTCAGGGATGTTAAGTGACTTCATTAATGCCCCACAGCTAATCAGTAGGAAATAACCAGGAGTGGAGGCTAGAAACCACTCCAGATCTATAGTCTTAACATTGCGCTATGTTTGCTGTGTACTCTCTGACATACAAGTCATAAAAGTATTTCTCAATTCTCTGGGAAATTTCTACACTCCACTCTTGCTCAGCCTGTTCATATACCCAGAGCCCATCACTTATGTCAGCCTTTTGAGTTTTACAAATTTTGTTAAAATAAGATACCATTCCTGGTGCTTTTTCCAATTCTAAATAGAGTGATTTTTATTTTTGTGCAATTCTTAACCATTGGATCTATTCCCTTATTATGCCATTTGTCATTATTTACCAGCATTGTTTTTACATTTTTATAGGTATTCTCTTCTCTACTAATTTAGGGGCTCTTTGAAGATAATAATTACCTTGCTGTACTTTAAATACACCAAAATTTGTTATGATTGCTGAAGAAGTAAAAACAAAGTGAAAGCTACCAATTTTATTCAGTTCAAATAGTGGTATACCTCAGATATCGTGGATTCAGTTCCAGGCCACTGCAATAAAGCAAGTCAGACGGAAGTGTTTGGTTTCCCAGTGCATCTAAAGTTTATGTTTATACTACACTGTAGTCTAGTAGGGGTGCAATAGTATTATGTCCGTCGTACCATTTCTGTCTATTCAATATATTGGCTATGGGTTTGTCATAAATAGCTCTTATTATTTTGCGGTGTTTCACCAATACCTAGTTTGAGAGTTTTTAACATAAAGGGATGTTGAATTTTATCAAAGGCCTTTTCTGCATCTATTGAGATAATCATGTGGTTTTTGTCTTTGGTTTTGGTTATGTGATGTATTGTGTTTATTGATTTGCAAATGTTGAACCAGCCTTGCGTCCTAGAATCCACCTGGTCTTGGGCTTTTTTTGATCAGTAGGCTATTAATTACTGCCTCAATTTCAGAACTTGTTATTGGTCGATTCTGGAATTCAACTTCTTCCTGAATTAGTCTTGGGAAGGTGTGTGTGTCCAGGAATTTGTTCATTTCTTCTAGATTTTCTAGTTTATGTGCATAGAGGTGTTTATAGTATTCTCTGATGGTAGTTTGTATTTCGGTGGAGTTAATCATTTTTTTGTGTGTCTATTTGATTCTTCCCTCATTTCTTCTTTATTAGTCTAGCTAGTGGTCTATTGATTGTGTATTTTTTTCAAAACACGAGCTCCTGGATTCATTGATTTTTTGGAGAGTTTTTATTTCTGCATCTCCTTCAGTTCTGCTCTGATCTTAGTTCTTTTTTTCTGTTAGCTTTTGAATTTGTTTGTTCTTGCCTTTCCAGCTCTTTTAATTGTGATGTTAGAGTGTCAATTTTAGATCTTTCCCACTTTCTGATGTGGGCATTTAGTGCTATAAATTTCGCTCTTAACACTGCTGTAGTTGTGTCCCAGAGATTCTGGTACATTGTCTCTTTGTTCTCATTGGTTTCAAAGAATTTCTTGACTTCTGCCTTAATTTCGTTATTTTTCTAGGAGTCATTCAGGAGCAGGTTGTTCAATTTCCATTTGATGGTGTGGCTTTGAGTGAATTTCTCAATCTTGAGTTGTAATTTGGTTGTGCTGCCGTCTAAGAGACTGTTTGTTATGATTTTAATTCTTTTGCATTTGCTGAGGAGTGTTTTACTTCTGATTACGTGATCAATTTTAAGGTGCCACGTGGTGATGAAAAGAATGTATACTCTGTTGTTTTGAGCTGGAGAGCTCTGTAGGTATCTATCAGGTCTGCTTGATCCAGAGCTGAGTTCAGGTCCTGAATATCTTTGTTAGTATTCTGTCTCAATGATCTGTCTAATATTGTCAGTGAGGTATTAAAGTCTTCCACTATTATTGTGTGGGAGTCTAAGTCTCTTTGTGACTCTTTGCTTTATGAATCTGGGTGCTCCTATGTTGGGTGCATATGTAGATTAATAGAGTTAGCTCTTTTTGCTTAATTGAACCCTTCACCATTATGTAATGCCCTTGTCTTTTCTGATCTTTTTGGTTTAAAGTCTGTTTTGTCAGAAACTAGGATCGCAACCCCTTCTTTGATTTCTATTTGCTTGGTAAATTTTCCTCCTTCCCTTTATTTTGAGCCTATGTGTGTATTTGCACGTCAGATGGCTCTTTTCAAGACAGCATAGTGATGGGTCTTGGCCTTTTATCCAGCTTGCCTTTCTGTGTCTTTTAATTGAGGCATTAAGCCCATTTACATTTAAAGTTAGTATTGTTATGTGTGAATTTGATCCTGTCATCATGATGCTAGCTGGTCATTTTGCAGAACTGTGCATGTGGTTGCTTCATAGTGTCCCTGGTCTGTGTATTTCAGTGTGTTTTTGTAGTGGCTGGTAACAATTTTTTCTTTCAATTTTCAGTGCTTCTTTCAGGAGCTCTTACAAGGCAGGCCTGAGGGTGACAAATTCCCTCAGGATTTGCTTGTTTGTAAAGGATCTTATTTCTCTTTAGCTTAGGAAGCTTAGTTTGACCAGATATGAAGCTCTAGGCTGGAAATTATTTTCTTCAAGAATGTTGAATATTGGCCCCCAATCTCTTCTGGCTTGGAGGGTTTCCACTGAGAGGTCCACTGTTACTCTTATGGCTTTCCCTTTGTAGGTGACCTGGACTTTCTCTCTGGCTGCCCTTAACATTCTTTCTTTCATTTCAACCTTGGAGAATCTGATCATTATGTGTCCTGGGATTGATCTTCTCATGGAGTGTCCTACTGGAGTTCTCTGAATTTCTTGAATTTAAATGTTGGCCTGTCTTGCTAGGTTGGGGAAGTTCTCCTGGATGATATCCTAAAGTATGTTTTCCAACTCGATTCCATTCTCCCCATCTCTTTGAGGTACCCCAATCAGTCGTAGGTTCTGTCTCTTTACATAATCCCATATTTCTTGGAGATTTTGTTTAGTCTTTTTTATTCTTTTATCTCTATTGTTTCCTGCCTGTTTTATTTCAGAAAGATAGTCTTCAAGCTCTGAGATTCTCTCCCCTACTTGTCTCCATTTTTCTCGGGAGGTATTTTAACAAAATTTAAAGAAATTACCACACCGTTTACAATTACTGTGTATGTTTGTGTTTATGTGTGCACGTGTGTGTATGATGAACCCAAGGAAAGAATATTCTAAAATGAGGACCAGTAATGTTATTTTCTATAGTTTTTTCTTAGTACTGAACCCAAAAAAGGAATATCGAGAATGTTTCAGACAGTAGAGTAAGATAGAGATAAATCCTACAATTGCCACTTATAATCTGGGTAACTTTGGGAAAATTACCTTTCTTTTGAACTTATTTTATTAACTTTTAGAATGAGAATAATAAAAATACCCTCCTCATAGGACTGTGGTGAAGATTAAGAGAACTGATTAATATAAAACACAGCATGGGGCCAAGCATATGGTAAGACCTTAAGGAATTTTATTTCGTTAATTATAAAACACACATTTCTCCCTACATTTTAACATCTCAGTAGAGAAAATGTCTTAGAATTTATGTTCTTATAGTTGATGAAGCAAGGATTCTTACCTAAATACATGATTTATAATTGAAACATAGTTTTTTGTTTAAAAATGTTAGAAATCAACACTATGAAATCAGATACCAATTCTGTCAGTGGGGATAGTTTGCAGTGAGGGAAATAAAATGGAGAATTTTGCAAATTAGGACAAAATTAATATATGTTCTCTTTATTTTGAGTTTATTCATATTTATTCCACAAACATTTGAATGGATAACCATGTGCCAAATTCTGTGTAGGACAAATTTCATAAGATGAATAACATATATTTGTCTTCAAAGATCTAACACATGTTCATGGAAGACAACAGAACCATATAAGTACAGCATCAGTTATAAATATCTAAGCTAATTGTTTACATAGAAACAAGACTTAATTCATAGGAGAGGAGAGGGTGGGGAAAGAAAAAATGAAAGATGTGATTTCTGAACTAAGTCTCAACAGACTGGTAACATGAGTCAGGTGAAAGGTGAGAGGAAGTACGCTCTAAAAGGAGGAAATAAAAAAGGACTTGGGAGAAGAAGAGAGAAGAATCTCTCTTAGGAAACTACATGATATTTAATTTGGATGAAATATTTGCAGAAGGAGTAAAAATTCTAAGCTAGAAGTTTAAGAAGGGTCAGCTTACGGAGGACCTTGCCTGGTTATGCTGATGGGCTTAAACTGTGGCAGGAGTTAAATGAAAATACTCTGGAACAGTTTAAAATGGAGGGGTGATACACTCACAATTTTATTTCCAAACTGTTGTTCAGAATGAATTAAAGTGGATAGGATTGAAGACAAAGAGGATGGTTAGGAGCTTATTGTGATCATCATTAACAGTGGTATTGCACATGTAGTAAAATGGGCAGATTTGAAAGATTATGAAGGTGATAGAATCTATAGTACTTGATGATTAATGGAATGTGAAATAGAGATAGAAGTTAAGTTGTAATAACCACATCTCAGTTCAAATGATAAACAAATGCCATGCAGATCTAGAGCAGGGGCCATGTTCCCAAACAATTTGCCTGAGCCATTGTGCCTAACACAGTGCTGAGTCCACAATAAACCAATGCCAAACAGTTGTGCATTGATATATCATCCATTCTTCTGGAAATTCTTTGAGGATTTCACATACAGATGTCCATATTGAATTAATACATAATTATCAAGAGAAAAATAGCCCTGAGTCAACATTCTAGAAATGTTCAATTGTCTAGAGTGGATTTTCTCATTGTCCTTTTCCATAACAACATAGTGACTTGGAATATAACGTGGCACTAAAAAATAGAAGAATAAAAAGGGTCTTTGAAGCAATTCCTTTTTATCTTGCTTTATTCTTAACAGCAGTTCTCTGGTCTTAATTCTTTTATGGTTCCAGGAGAATTACATTTCAAATTCCGTAATTGCACAGGAGAATTGGAGTCTTGTAAAAATTTAGAATACTTTGTTCAAAGGCAACTTTTATTATGAACTGAACCTATGCTGTGATGCAGCCAAAGAAATTGTTTAGAGCATCATTAAAATAACCTTTTTAATAAGACCACTTTCTCTTGAAAAAGTGTAGTACCCTCTTATTTAATATTACCATATTACAATTGACTGTATGTTTGCTGAAAGTCTTATAGTATGGTATTTAGTTTATTGAACTAGCACAAAATATACATGAACTTTATCAGTTTTCATTTTCCCTTTAACAAACCAAGAACAATATTAAATGACATTTTATGACATTTGATAGGTATTTAAAATTTGTTATTGCGGCTCTTCAGTGAACCATAAAATAACAAGTGTCACAATATGGCTGTGCTTTCATTATGAGAAATGCAAGCAGGAAACATTTAAATCAGCATCATTTTCCATCAATGTTTTGCTCCTGATTCTCTGCCAAGTTCATTATCTCCTCTGTGCCTAAATTTGTCCATATGAAAAATTAGGAGAAAAAAGAATAAATTAATACTTGCCTCTAAAATGATCTGAAACCCAGGTATGGAAAATCTTACACAAGTTTAAAAGACTGGTTTATTCACTACTGTCCTCATTCGTTTGAACGGACCGCAATGTTCTGTGGGAGAGTAGCTGAGAGACTGATGCAATAATAGTCCTTTTCACACCTTCCATCCAGAAAGACAATTTTTTTATTTGCAGCTGAAGCTATTATATCCAGAGCCTATGGCTGTTTGCCTCTTCTAACGTTGGAAATTTTGAAAGAGAAACAGCAAGTAAAATGTGAAAATGTCCTCTGGGATATTATTTTATTACTACATGTCCCTTATTTAGCAAACTATATGCAATATAAAAAATTAAGTCTGGTGCCTGGTTGGCAAAAAATCAAATAACAGGTACTAAAGAAATAATGATGAGCTAACCTAAGCTCTGTGTGTGTGTGTGTGTGTGTGTGTGTGTGTGTATGTGTGTGAGTGCGCGCACGCCATAAAGCCAAGGTGGAGAGGTGAATAAAAAAGTCATTAGAGGAGAGGGAAAAGCCATATCGCTTGAAAAAAGCACCATGGTATCATGGTAGAAGAATGGGCTTTAGACGCTGGCAAGCTTGGGTTTCAATTATGGCATTTTGTAGTGCGCTATTTATTTCTGAGCATTAATTTCTACAATGAAAAAATACATAATACCATAGGGTTTGAAGGATCAAGTGAGATGATTGAAATAAAGTATGAATCAAGATGTCTGTCATTAATTCTCTCTTTTAATCATGGGAGCTATTGACAATGCAAAAGTGTACCCAGTATAGCAGTAGAATGATAGTGTATCTCTTGAGATAACGTGTCAGGTTGTTCGCTAATGCCTTTTTCATAGAAATATTGTTGAGCTGCCTTCACATAGATAGAACATCTGGGTTACAACCACTTTGCAGAAAAGCTACCAGGTACAGCTTTTTGAAATTGCCTGCCTGGGTTTAAATTACAGTCTTGTAGTAACTCTTTGGTGCATTTTAGTAACTGCTGAACCGTGTGATGTTGAGTCAATCACATTGATTGGAAAGGAAATTTAACGCATCAGACAAGGGAAAGTTACTAAGGTTAGTTGACATAGAATGCTCTTAAGTTAGTTCATGGTAAGTTATGCAAGTAGAGGAGATCATAGATAACTAAATAGCAGGCAAACTGCAAAAAGACTAGCAGAAGTTGGCCAGGCATAGTGGCTCACGCCTGTAATCCCAGCACTTTGGGAGGCCAAGGCAGGTGGATCATGAGGTCAGGAGTTCAAGACCAGCCTGTCCAACTTGATGAAACCCTGTCTCTACAAAAATATAAATTAACCAGGCATGGTGGCTGGCACCTGTAATCCCAGCTACTCAGGAGGCTGAGGCAGGAGAATTGCTTGAACCCAGGAGGCAGAGGTTGCAGTGAGCTGAGATCGTGCCACTGCACTCCAGCCTAGGCAACAGAGTGAGACTCTGTCTCAAAAAAAAAAAAAAAAAAAAAAGACTAGCAGAAGCACATCAGTTGTTACTATTCTGTAGCAAGTTCAACCAGAATGTATCTCTCTGCTGTTCTCACAGCAAAAATTATAAATGTTTGAGGTGATGGATATGCTAATTACCTTCATTTGATCATTACACAATGTATACATGTTTTGAAGCATCATAGTTTATCCCATAAATATATATAATTAGTATGTCAATTAAAATTAAAAAATAACGATAGCAACAACTATTACTCCCTTATATTACACTACTACAAGCGCTTTGTTTATAGCTTATATCCTTGGGAACCTTTTTTCTATTGCATATAGAATGTATGATACAGTCTGTGCTAAATGTCATAGAGCTTTTACAAGCCAGATAAAATTTGAGTGTACAGTTAAGAGGTCAAAAAGCCATCTGCCACAATGTAGAGCCCATCTCAGGAAATTAGGATATAAAAATTTTCCAGCAAATGATTTGTAAGAAGTCATGAGTTTTATGGGGAATAACTGGTTAGCCTGGTAACAGATCTAGTGAGTTCTGAAGAATCATATATCCCATCTATGCCCATATTGAAATAGTGGCAGTGCTAGGTTTGTTCTATAATGCATTGTGGGTAGCTGTTGCAGCCTTCTCCTACTCCATATCTTTATTTCATGTGGTCACTGACCTTATATTATTAAGTGTGTACAATATAGATTTAAAGGGTAGACATTGGGTCACCTTTGATGAAAGAGTCTTACTTCAAGAATATGTACCGTATTCTCTCAACTGACAGTAATTAATGTCACTGATATGGACAGTATTCATATCACCATAATGAAGCCATAAAACATTGTGGCTAAAATAATTTGTGAAGCTCATTTTGAAGAACTTGTGAAAAGCTAGGCCTTGGTGCCAAGGATAGAGAGAAAAGCAACAGTAATGAGGAAAGCACTGACACCTCTTTGGAGGAAAATGTGGCCATATTGACCAAAATTTAAAGTGTGCACACTTAGGCCAGGTGTGGTGGCTCACGCCTATAATCCCTGCACTTTGGGAGGCCGAGGTGGGTGGATCACTTCAGGTCAGGAGTTTGAGGCCCGCCTGGCCAACATGGTGAAATCCCATCTCTACTAAAAATGCAAAAATGAGCCGGGTGTGATGGCAGGTGCCTGTAGTCCCAGCTATTCAGGAGGCTGAGGCAGGAGAATCGCTTGAACCCGGGAGGTGGAGGTTGCAGTGAGCTGAAATCATGCCACTGTATTCCAGCCTGGGTGGCAGAGAGAGACTCTGTCTCAAAAAAAAAAAAAAAAAGTGCACAGTTTATGACTCAGCATTTTCACTTTCAGAATATTTCTTTCAGATATTGTGTATTTTGCAAATTTCTACATAAATTAATAAGCTTTCAGCATTATTTGTCATAGCTGAATCTTGGAAACAAATACGTCTATTAATAGGTGACTGAATCAATAAATCATGTTACATTTAGAGAATGAAAAACTACACAGCCATTAAGAATTAAGATAGATGTATACATTTTGATAAGAAGCAATATGTCCAAGAAGTAGTTCTAAGTGAAATAAAGTACAGAAATGTGTGATTAGTACGCTATAATTTATTTAAAAACGTGCTTACAAAGTAATGATAAATGATTGAGGTGACAGATATCCCAATTACCTTGATTTGGTCACTACATACTATATACCTGTATCAAAATAACACGTGTACCTTGTAAATATGTAAAACTATTACCTGTTAATATTATGCATTATGTAAATTAAAAATTAAATGCCCAAAGCCATGTGTTTATACACATATTTGTAAATGCACTGATTATCTATATGTGACTTAGGAATAGCAGTTTTCTTTTAGAAGAACTGAGGGTCTTGGGTGGGAGAGCTATCTTACTGTCTAAAAATACTATTCAATATTTATTTTTTTCTATGTGGCTGGATTACTTAAGTAAAAGAAAGCTTTGAAGGCAAAGCTAGTGTACTGTGTGTTTCACTTAGGACATCACTTAAGACAAACCAATAGTTTGACACAGGAAGATTGTTATTGATGATTGGAACATACTAAAGTAAAAAAATCTGTCCTCACATTCTTTTCATTTCTTCCTATAAGCAATAAAAGAGATTCTTACCCTTTTGTTCAAATTGAAATCTCCCCCTTCACATTCTGTATTCCATCCTCTACCACAGTTACAGGGAGCGAGTACCTTTGCTTACCACCTTTCTCTCCTTTCCCTGCTCAACCTTACCTTACAAAAACAAAAACATAATTCTTCCTTGATCTAACATCCCCCTTCAGTTTTCATCTCTCTCCTCTCCTTTAGCCAAGCCCCATGTCTATACCGGTTCTCTGTATCTCTCATTGTCACTTCACTCCTCAGCCTACAGCAATCTGGTTTCCTTCTCCACAATGTCTCTGAAATTTTGCCAAAGTCACCAGTGATTTCTATGTACCTAAATCAAATGGTTACTTGTAAGTTCGTGAATTGTTTGACTTTTTAGCAGTGTTTGACCAGACTGACAACTCTCTAAATGAAAATTCAAAGAAAATCCCATTTTCTTTGCTTATTTTCTTCTGTTTTTTTTTTCCCTCTTTATTTACTTTTCCTGTTTCTTTTTTGGTATTTTGCTTCTCCACCTATCCACTATATATTTATTTGTGCTTATTATGGCATTGCTGGTGGCTTGACGTTAGACTCTCTGCTCTTTTCTCATACATATTTCTTAGGCAGTATTTCTTAGGAAGTATATACCCACTTCAGGTCCAAATGCCCTTTCTGTGCTAACAGCTTCTAATATCTAATATATCTATTACCCTCTCCTGAGCTTGAGACTTTTCTGTCCAATCGCTGACTGGTTGTCTTTACTTGGATATCTCAGTGACACATAGTTGACCATGTGTACAAGTGAACTCATTGTGTTACCTCAAATTTTCCCTTCTGGGGTTTGCTATGTCACAAATTAATTACTTTTTGGAGGCAGATTTCCTTACTGTGATATCAAGAGTGAGTGAAAAAAGTGTCTGGTGAATAGTAGTTATTTCACAAATATTTATTGACTCAAGGATTGAATCAATTAATGATACCATGTATGATAAATATCATCAAATGTATAGTACAGAACATTTTGAAACATTTAAGATATTGAAAGACAAGACACCAAAAGTGCAGATTATCCTAATGTGGTAAAATTATGCTACCTCTCTAAGGATGACTATGAATAACAAGGAAAAAGAGTTAATCAAGCATTAATTCCCTGTTAAATTTCTTTCTGCTTAAAATATTTGGAGTTGTTTTTCTATCTTGTACTGAACTCTGATATGTATAGCAATGTATGTGTGAAATCCTGTGATTCAAGGGTAGAAACTAAATTAAAAAAAGGGAAGAATCAAAATTTAACAAAGTAGCTAATCTTTCTGAGGGCAAGTTGTCAAAATTTTGGCAATGGTGTTGAGTGTATGCAGTGTATGCATGACCAATATCCAGAAAGGGGTATCCTGGAAGAGGTTGTATATAGTACTCATCTTCACTCAGTGAATTTTTGACTGAAGGAAAATTTTTAAAAAATTTATTAGATACAAAGTAAGAACCCATGGTCCTGTGGGCTTTCTAAGGTAAAAAGACAAAAGGCAAGAAAAGATCTTTGCATCAAAGAGCTTAAAGTATTATAGTTAATTTAAACATATAGTTGTTTTACATTCTTTTAATAAAGGTTTAATCATATGCTTACATGAAGAACAAAGGAAGCTTAAATGTTGTAGTTGTTACTCTGTTCACCAGTATTTTGTTTTTCCTCCTGAGTGCATGATAGAATTGTACCTCCCTGACACTTGGAAATTAGGTGTGACCAAAAGACTACCCTGATTTGCCTATCGATTTCTGAATAGATGTAATGGCATGCAATTTTCAGATGGAAGTTGTAAGAGCTAGTGTGTGATTTGCCTAAGAAGGATGGTGACATTTTACTGCAGAGATAGAAAGTGAGGGCATATGGGCAGAAAGACCAGCATTAGCAAACCCATGGAAGACAGGGATTGAATTTATAGACATAGAGATACCTGAAACAGGGCAGCAAAATAATATTTTCAAGAACATGTTTTCTATCAATATTTCTAATTTAATTTTATAGCATCTAAGAAAGTGATATACCACTCACATAAAGTCTTAAACGCTCTACATTTTAATTAAACTTTAATTATATCTTTTAATTTCCATGGCTGGCTTTAAATTAAATTTAATTCTACTTACCAGGATTTTAAGAGCTTCTGAATTTGTCCTATCCTCAACTTTCTGCAACTGGGTTTACAGCTGTATTTTCTCACTACTGTTAATTGAATGCTGATGGTAGGGATAGTTCTTACTATTTTTTCCCCCTGTAACTATGTTCACTTAATTCAAGGTCCTCAGGTCTCTGTAAACCTTTGCATTCAAAAAACTAAAAAACTCCACACTGCTTCCTACTGCTAAAGGTTTTTCTTATTTCTGCCCCACAGGTTTTGGCTCAAGCTAAAGGAAGGATTGTGCTTGCCGTGAATGTAGATAGGCACAAGATCATATATTTCAAAGGAAATCATATTCAAATTCAAATACAACCTAATGGTGATCTTGTGGTAAATGTATCCACTAACACTCACTTTCTATTCCTTCCTAGTAATTGTTCAGTCTCCAGAAATTATTTCCGTAATTTATTCCTGTTATTTCAGAATTGAGTCTTTGAAGGGAATAAGCCCACTGAATTATATGTTGATACAGCCATTCACAAATTGCTTTTTTAATACATTCTTCAAAATGTAAAAATGTTGGTTTCAATTGGTCACTTTCTTCTCCAAACAATTTTTTTAAAGTGGATCAAACATGAAATAAGTTTATTTCTTTCTTTATTTTTTTGAGACGGAGTCTCGCTGTCACCCAGGTTGGAGTGCAGTGGCGCAATCTTGGCTCATTGCAACCTCTGCCTCCTGGGTTCGAGCAAGTCTCCTGCCTCAGCCTCCCGAGTAGCTGGGATTACAGGTGTGTGCCACCACACCCAGCTAATTTTTGTATTTTTTAGTAGAGACAGGGTTTTGCTATGTTGGCCAGGCTGGTCTCGAACTCCTGACCTTAAATGATCCACACACCTCGGCCTCCCAGAGTGCTGAGATTACAGGCATGAGCCACCATGCTGGGCCAAAAGAAGTTTATTGCTCACTTAAAATCTGAATGGGTGCTCCTGATTGGCAGGTTCTTCAAGTGCTGATTCTGGAATTCAGGACTTCTCTTTGACTTCATCATCTTCATAAATGTCTTTCAATGTCATTGTGCTCAATGGTATCAAAAATCATCAAGGCCCTTGTATGGGTAGGGCCTGAAGTGTTGCACAGCAGTTTTCATTGTTTTCTCTGAACTAGAACTCGGTCACATGACCACACCTAACTCCAAAGGGGACCCAGAAATGTGATCTACACTTGAAAAAGAGGAAATGGATTTGTCTTTTTCACACAATTGATATCTTAACTTCTGAGTTGACTAACATCTACCTTGTTTGATCTATATGTGGAGAAAAAGAGTTTATAAGAAATAAAGATGGGTAGCTCTGTGGATTTCTGGGCATAAGATCCTTCTGGATTTAGTGGGCAAGATCTTCAAACTGCCAATTGGGCAACATGGATGAAAAATTTGGGGTCTTGTGAATAATTTAAAAAGCAAAGAAAAAGAAACTTGACATTTTGGAGACAAACCTGTGTGAGTGTTTTATTGGTACAAACGTATTTAACACTAGGGGTTTTGTACAATTTTTTGCCTTTTCTACTAGAAAACAATGTAAAGTGATTTCACAATGTGAGGAGAAAAAAAAATTGCCGCTGTGACCAAACGCACAGTCTGTTGTGCAGCAACAATGGGCTTCGATCAACTCAGTCGTGATTCAGCTGTAGAAATGCTTTTCCTTCACCTTGTTTGAGCTTTTCCTTTCTTTCCTGTTTTGATTTGCAAAAGAAAATGTCTTTTTTGTGTGAACTTGTGTTGTACTCTGTAGAAAATTACGGGTTTTACTTTAATGGTTTAAGAAAAAAAGCAAGAAGAGCCCTCGTCGCTTTTCTTACCTCATCACAGAGTTTGTGTAGTGAATTTAAAAAGAGAAAAAAAATTGTTACAAATTTGGAGCAAGGGAGTATGTTTTTCAAAAGAACCTCCTTCCTTTTTTTGTGTGTTTTTCCTTTTGTCCCAATGGGGAATCTAAATCTGTTTTAATTGCACAGACACATAGACAAAAAGTCATTTTTTATCTGCCAAGTGTGGTACCTTTGTTTATTTGTTATTAAACTGTTTAGACCCAGAATTTTTTTTTTCTTCTCAGTTTCTGAGATTAACAAAATTTGAAGGTAATGGTGCCCCTCATGGCAGAAAAAGTTTGTTAGCGCAAAGATAATTTATTAAGATTAGGAGAGGAAACTCTGGAAGGAATACTGCTATGTTAACAGCCTGATCTGTGTGTGTGTAAGTGTGTGTGTGACTGCACATGAGCGTGTATGCATATTATGTAGTTTTTGTCTCCAATATGATTATCTCTGAAGATGAAACATACTCAAGCCTGCATAATGCACGTTAATTGCCCCCACTGGTCCCAGGATTGAGATCTCCAGAGACAGAGCCTCAGACTCTGGAAGGGATAAGTAATGAGGAATGGGGAGATTTGTGGCATGTTCTACATCTGAGTAAAGCCTGAAAGGGGCCTTTGTAAAGAAAAGAATCAAAAGGTGCCTTACTTAGAGGCTATTTGACTCCTGGGCAACATTTAGGATATGGAATTATGGGCAGGTGGAGCAGTAACTTTTCTGTATCTCGAAGTCCACTTTGTTTCAGATGTTGGTATAAAAAGGAGCATAAATTTTCATGACTATTTTCCTTCACAAACAGCTTTATTATTAGGCTTATTAGACACAGAATTAAGAATTTTTTTGTCAAATAGTAATTTTGTCCTTGCAGATTATCTTCAAAAGGATTATATTCTTAGAAGACAGGAAAATGGGAGTCATTGCTGCCTGTCTAACTAGTTCAGGCTTAATTTGCTAGTCAATGAAAAACAAGATGTACTAGAAGAATGAAATGTTCAAAGCTTTATGGAAACAGCATTTTGCAAGACCATTTGGTGCAGGTTTGGGCAATAATTTGGACTAACTCTCTTGTTTATTCTCTTTCACACAGATACAGCGTAGCACATATTCACTCATTGTGTGTGACTTGGAGAGAAATCTTTGTAGGTGGTAGCTAATTTATTTCATGAAATTTAACATTCTGATTCAAAAGAGTCAAAAGAAAAAAGGACTGGGGAATCTAAGAGATATCCAACATGACCCTTCAGTAGGCTAATCTTTTGGTACAGAAAGGTCCTCAATGCACAATTACTGTGCTGAAAGTGGATCTCGCCTGTGAGATACCCCATGCAGAGGACTATCTGTGGCAAATGGAAAGTGAAACCTTGCTTTTTTTTTTTTTTTTTTTTCCTTGTTCTCGTCCTCTGCCTCTTGGGCAGAATTTAATTACCTCTGTCCCTTCCCTGGTATTTGTTTGTATGTAATTGCCCCAGGTCAAGCTTTTTACACTTTTTCCTTGGGCTATTGAAATAATTTCCAAATTTTTCTGCTAATTTTATTAACCTGCACCAAATGGTCTTGAAAAATGCTGTTTTCATAAAGCTTCAATTATTTCATTCTTCTACTTAATACATCTTGTTTTTCCTTGACTAGCAAATTAAGCTTGAACTAGTTAGACTGGCTGGCAGCAAGTCCTCTGCCATGTGATTACCGTATATTTATACCTTATGTCTCACAACTTTTTGCAAGTACACTTGTACTATTTTATACTCTTCTCTGGGTATAATTTTTTGTATCCAAATCTTTCTACATTTTTATTATATGCAAATAATATTTTCCCGCCATCGTTATGGAAAATTCTATATTTTGTCAACGTTCATTTTCTTCTCAAAAGCCTTTTGTTATTATTTCCAAATGAATATTATGTGTGTCTCAGACAACCACAGAAAGTTTTGTTTTTGTCACATTCTACTGCTACTGTGTCAATGGCAGCATTTTGATATAGGTGGAGGGACGATCACATCAACCCCATAATTTGTGTCAGCTTCTCCTGAAGTTATCAGAAGCATACAATTTAAGTAAAAACAGTATCTTCGCTATCCAAATGATGTTCCAAGGTAAATCTCCTCAGATCCCTTCCAGTACATGTATGCTCCAAGGCCTGCTCTATGTAGAACTTTTGGAGCCATCAACGTACTGCTTGAGGTTGTTTTGAACAAAAGGTATTTGACATAAGCTCTATAAGATCAGGGACTCTTTTATTTTATTCATTGTTCTTTATCTTCTAGAGCAATAATTTGCAAAATGACTATTTATTGAATAAACTAGGACGGAGGTGAAAAGGAAAGAACAGCTCATCCTTCCAAGGGGAAGAGAGCAGTATCCCAAATCCAAATTGAAGAAAATAAACATATATCTATTCACCAGAAGAGATAGAAGGGAGACAGGGCAGAATTTCTGTGGTTCTTACTATCTCTGTCACCTCTACAGGCCAAACCAGTGAGGACCTTGGAGACTACTAATACCACTGGATTTGTAAATGAGTTCATCCTCTTGGGCTTCCCCTGCCGCTGGGAGATCCAGATCCTCCTTTTTGTGGTCTTCTCTCTCATCTACCTTCTGACCCTCCTAGGTAACACATCCATCATCTGTGCTGTGTGGTCAAGCCAGAAACTCCACACACCTATGTACATCCTACTGGCCAATTTCTCCTTCCTGGAGATCTGCTGTGTCAGTTCTGACGTGCCCATAATGGCAGCCAATCTCATCTCCCAGACACAGAGCATCTCCTGTGCTGGCTGCCTGCTCCGGTTCTACTTCTTCTCCATGTGTGCTGCAGAGTGCTTATTTCTGTCAGTGATGTCTTTTGATAGGTTTCCTGCCATTTGTAGACCTTTGCACTATCCCACCTTAATGACCCATCACGTTTGTGCTCATTTTTGTGATCTTCTGCTGGGTGGGTGGCTGTCTCTGGTTATTGACCCCTTTGACACTAATATCTCAGGTCCTCTTTTGTGGTCCAAACACTATCGACCATTTTTTCTGTGATCTGGCACCTTTGCTGGCACTGTCTTGTGCTCCAATACCTGGAATTACTCTGACTTGTGGTATCATTAGCGCTCTCATCATCTTTCTTACCTTCTTGTATATCCTTGGGACTTATTTCTGTGTTCTAAGCACAGTGCTACAGGTGCCTTCAGGCTTAGGAAGGCATAAGGCTTTCTCAACTTGTGGCTGTCACCTTGCTGTAGTGTCTCTCTTCTATGGTTCTCTTATGGTGATGTATGTTAGCCCAGGTTCTGGGGACTATCATGGGATAAAGAAATTTGTGACCTTGTTCTATACTTTGTCAACTCCATTCTTTAATCCTCTGATCTACAGTTTCCGGAACAAGGATATGAAAGAGGCACTAAAGAAATTTCTGAGGAATCGCCACACTGTCGATTGAACCAGTGTGGCGATTCCTCAGGGATCTAGAACTAGAAATACCATTTGACCCAGCCATCCCATTACTGGGTATATACCCAAAGGACTATAAATCATGCTGCTATAAAGACACATGCACACATATGTTTATCGCAGCACTATTCACAATAGCAAAGACTTGGAACCAACCCAAATGTCCAACAACGATAGACTGGATTAAGAAAATGTGGCACATATACACCATGGAATAGTATGCAGCCATAAAAAATGATGAGTTCATATCCTTTGTAGGGACATGGATGAAGCTGGAAACCATTCTCAGCAAACTATCGCAAGGACAAAAACCAAACATCGCATGTTCTCACTCATAGGTGGGAATTGAATAATGAGAACACTTGGACACAGGAAGGGGGACTTCACACACTCGGGCCTGTTGTGGGTTTGGGGGGGGAGGGATAGCAAAAAAAATTTATGTATGTGTTATAGTAGGAAATTTCTAAAGGATCCAAGAGGCAAATTTAATATAATTCATCATTAATGTTTAGAAGGATGAAAGATGATGAGACCAATGAGATCATGCTTTTTTCCATTTTATTCTACTTTTATATATTGGGAAGATAATTTGAAAGAATTAATTGGACCCATGGTTTCAGTCTTAGGAAGTTATTACTATTATGGTCCAGATATGTTTGTACCTTAAATAGATTTTTTTATTTTTGCAATTCTACTTAATATTTTCATCTATTTCTCTAAAACTGAGCTTCTGCTTACTCTTGGTTTTCAGTACATACTGTTTGGTATGTTTCAACATCCTCAGATTCTGCCTTCATTGAAGCAAGTTGTTTCATTTTTTTGAGAGCATAGCAATGGTTGAATGTATTGCAACTATACAAATAGTTTTCCACTGATCCTTCAAATTACCAGATTAAAACACACACACACATACACACCCCCAAAACTCTCAACAATTCAGGGACAATTTTAAGCTCTGCCTTTTTATTCTTTATAATTTGAAGTATAACTTCTGGGGCTAACAAGGGCCTTCAATAATATTATGTTGACTTGATTGACACCTCACATTTTGCCAATGCTAACACTTTGGCATATGTAGACACAAGAAGGTCAGGTGATGCCCAGTGCAAACCAAAGAGCCATAGAATCTGTGAGATCACTGACAATCTAGGCCTACTAAGCACTTTTTTTGTGTGTGTAGTTCTTCATTAAACTCTGGAAAAGTGTTCCTCGGGTAAGTTCTACCCTCTAATTTATTTTTTTGAGTAGCAATTTATTAATTTGCAGTACTGCACTCCATGAGGAAATCTTGTGCTAAATCTTGATTCTGGGGTAACTCCAGCACTGACTTTACTACCAAAGCGTAGTTAAATATTTGCAGCATTCTGCTGGATATTTTTACATGACGATCTATTTCAAATTCAAATGTCTAATCCTAAATTTGTTAATCTCCTTTTAAGTTAGCTCTAGCCATCCTTATTTTCTCATGGATCTGTTGATTTATAGCATGAACTTGAAATCTTGACAGTAGAATTCCTTACCATCTCATTCCCACTTCTAATCTGTCATTAAACAGATTAGGCATCTTCCCTGGGATCATTTGTCATCTTTACGCTCGTCTTTTCTGTGCAGGTTCCTAGCACTCCATATCTGTGATGGCATAATCACTTCATAAATGGTCTGTCTCTGTTATCTCCCATGTCAAATTCCAGAATTATGTTCTTGAACCTCCATCACTTATTTTCTCTCTACCTAAACACAGGAAAAAAACCCAAATTCTTTAGCTTGTAAATGTTTTTAGGTTCTGAATTTCTTCTTAAACTTTATTTTTACCTTAATATATGTCTCATCACTCCCATTTGACTCACTCTCTCTAATTCACAGAGTATAATCTTAGTTTTACAACCTGAGCTTAAAATTGTTCTATTCATACCTTGCCCATGTTTAGATGCCTCATACGAAACTTTCCTTGCCCACTACAGTATATCATAATGTTATTTTCTAAGTTCATTGCCTTTTGAGTTTTGCCAAATATTTACTCAAAATTGGTCTGCCTTTTGGGTATCTATTACAGCATTGTTTGTGCTATTTTTTACTTTCCTACCAGTTAGAATATAAGTTTCTTTAGGGCAGGAAATATGATCTTTTTACTGCTCCTGAATGGCTTCTGCAATAGTAATAGCTCAATTATTGAGTTAACAAGGTTATTCGACAAACATTTATTGAGCTCCTATTATGTATTAGGCATTATCTGAGCACTGAAGCTATAGCAGTGATACCTATTCCCATGCAGTTTATATTACAGTATGGGAAGACAGGGATCAAGAAATAGAGAAATAAATATGTAGGATACAATATTTCCTGTGGTGATACATTCTTTGAAGAAGGGCAAAGCAGATGATGGGAATAGATACTAGTGAGAGTGGGGATGCTCTTTTAAATAGAATAGTCTGGGAAGGCTTCATTTAAGCTAAATTTTGAGGAGACCTATAGGAAGTGAGGGAGTTCTGTCCTTCCTATTTCAAGTTTACGGTGAGCAGGAAAGCAAGGCAATCATCAAAATGAGTGTGGAAATGCTCTAACAAGTACACTTAGAGATCCAAATCCAAATGGTGGCTATCAAGAAAGGCAAGAAGTTTGGTTTAAAAATGTGCCTGAAGATGCACCATTGAAAAATGGCAGCAGTGTGCAGGGACAATGCCACCTAACCCGCGTTCAGAGCGAAGCCACCTGGTCGGCCACCGGCAGCTTGGGGAAGAAGGGCATGTGGCGCGCCCACTCCACCTTGCTGAAGAGCAGCCGTGAAATTTTTAATAATATTTTTATTTAACCCAACTCACCCAAAATAGTATTTCAACATGGAATTAGTATAAACACTATTAATGAGATGTTTACATTCTTTCATCCCACCAAGTGTTCAAAACTGGTATTTGATTTTATACTTGGAGCACATCTTAATTAGGACTAGTCACTTTGCAGGTGCTCAGTAACCACATGTGGGTCGTGGCTATTGTATTGGACAGTACAGGTTAAAGAGAGGTCTAAGGACTAAATACAGACCTCAAATAATATTGAGGTTAAACAAATACTAAATTGACTTTATTTTTCAGAATGAAGTTTCTTTGCCTGGAGAGAACAAGCATGCTCTTATTTCACGTATTTTCCTAATTGAAATCCTGATTTTGGCAGGGGAAAGAACCCACTGAGTGTGCTACATGTTGGAACTAGTGACCTTACACATCCATGCTCCATCTCCTGGGAAAGTCTTTCCTGAAGAATTGTATCTTCAGTCTGTTTGTCCTGATTTGTCCCAAACTGACAGAAGTACCTGCAGAGCTGGCTAAAATTTCCCTTTCAGACATTGCTGTTTAGGTGAGAGTACAGAGTGGTTGGGAGGGTCAATCAGTTGTAGAACAATACTTAGGTATAATCCAATTTATATACCCACTCAAAACCCAGAGATTTTGCTTCTATATGTACAGAAAGAGGACTTAGAAATACATCCACCAAACTAAACACGTTGCTGAGGAGGCATGTGTGTGTGTAGAGGTGTGGAGATGTGAAAATTTTCACTATTTTATAGTTTTTTTCTTTACAACGACTATTCACTATAAAATATATGATTTATTTGTATAATTAAAAAGTAGACAAAATGGAATACAATTCATTTCAGTGTAGCTAAGCAAGCCCCAGTTAGTAAAACTTTTATGTTTTTATGTACACATTTAGACTAAAAACATACTTTAAAATATTTCAATTTTATATATGAACATCTTTTTCAAGCACAATGAGAGCTTAGATACAAGTGAGGATTTTAGTTATTCAGTTAATTATGGTTCGTTGGCCCCCTCCCCCAAGTCTAAGAATTTTTGGCTTAAAGAGAAAGAGTAAGTGAAGAATCCTCTATATCCATTCTTCACTAGTTCTAAGAAGGATGAAAGGCAAGTGCACAACACTAAATCTCACTGCAGCTTACAGAGATTTTCCAGATGATAATTTATTTACCTTTAGTTTAACTTTTTCTCTCAGAACTCCAGATAATGCAGTAGTAACTTATAAGCAGCACAGTATCTTCTAACAGCATTCATCATGAGATAGACAAGTCCTCAACTACCCGAGACAGTGTTTTACCCCTTACTCATCCTGCTCCCCTTTCACTGCTGTTGCATAGGTGGATAATTTGATTTCCACCCTGTGTAATCTCTAGAGGAAACATAGCTCAGAGATATGGAATAGTCAAAATGAATGGGTTGTTTGAGTTATTTCTCTCTCTCTCTCGCTCTCTGTGTGTGTGTGTGTGTGTGTGTGTGTGTGTGTTTGCTGTCCAGTATCTCCATCCCTTTTTATGTTTGAGGTAATCCCAATATTATCAGGCTTGGAGCTTCTATTTATGTAATTGTTGTTTATATTGCCAGATATTAGCTCTCCTAGCTTCCCTTGCACTTAAAGTTGTAGGAATGTACTCTTGCCTTTACCAGATACAGCTATACCAGGCTTTGAATCAAGAAGCAGAAGTAGGAAGAGCAACAATGTTGAAATATTGGCATAAGAAATGACAATGAACAGGCTGGGCGCAGTGGCTTGCGCCTGTAATCCCAGCACTTTGGGAGGCCAAGGTGGGCGGATCACGAAGTCAAGAGACCAAGACCATCCTGGCTAACACGGCGAAACCCCGTCTCTAGTAAAAATACAAAAAAATTAGCCGGGCGTGGTGGCTGGCACCCGTAGTCCCAGCTACTCAGGAGGCTGAGGCAGGAGAAAGGTGTGAACTGGGAGGCGGAGCTTGCAGTGAGCCGAGATCGCACCGCTACACTCCAGCCTGAGACGGAGCAAGACTCCGTCTCAATTAAAAAAAAAAAAAAAAAAAAAAAGGTAGCACACTTGTTGCAGAAAAGACAAGTTCCTAGAACAGAATGACAGTGGTGCTCATGTAGCATCTTGGTGGCCTATAGCACAGCCATGACTGCAGTCATGATTTTTCATCATCAGTTCTGCATGGTGGTTTGCATATGTATCTTTGAATTTGAGCCTCAACTTTGGCTCTTTAGCTTTCATTGGTTCTGTGAGATTCCTGCTACTCCATCAATAAGTCCTTTTTCATTTACATAATCAGCTAGAGTCAGCTTTTATTGGATGTAAGTGAGAACACTGGCAGAATTATACTCTAATAGAGTTATCTCAGGTGGGTATAGTCTCTACAATCTGCAGAGGGCAAGAAGAACTAACGCTTTGGCATTGCAGGTTGCTCTGAATTCTCCCTTAGCTCCACAGTGGTCTATGAAGCTTTATCCCTTAACATATTTTATTGAAGAAAATATTCCAAAAGTCAAAATAACTTGGAAGAGGGTTTTAAGATGTCTGTGTGTGTCTGGATTTTTTTCACTTAGCATAATGTTCTACAGGTTCATCCACATCGTCACTAATGGAAGAATTTCTCTATTTTTTAAGGGCCAAATAGTATTCCACTGTGTGTATATATCACATTTTGTGTATCTACTCATCTGATGACAAATACCTAGGTTGCTTCCGTGTCTTGGTTATTGTGAATAATGCTGCAATGAATTTGGAAGTACAGATATCTCTTTGACATATTGATTTCAATTTCTTTGGATATATGCCCAGAAGGGAAATTGCTTAATCATATGGTAATTCTATTTTAAGTGTTTTGTGGAACTTCTATACTGTTTTCCACGGTTATATTAATTTACATTTCCACCAACAGTGCACAAATGTTTACTTTTCTCTGCACCCTCAGCAATACTTATCTTTCATCTTTTTGGTGATAGCCATTCTAACAGATATGAGGTGATACTTCATTCAGTTGAACTCTTAAAAGTAGAGAGTAGAATGGTGGTTAACTAAGGCTGGAGGGAAGAGGCGGCTGAGGGGAGGAGAGATGGTGATCAAAGGATACAACAATTCAGTTTGATGGAAGGAATAAGATTTAGTGATCTGTTTCATAGAATGGTGACTATAATAAATAATAATGCACCACATATTTAGAAACTACTAAAAGAGTGGATTTCAAATGTTTTAACCACAAAAAATAAGTATAGGAGATGATGAATTTATTAATTAGCTTGATTTAATCATTTCACAATGTAAATGATTATCAAAACATCACATTGTATCCCATAAATATATAATTATCATGTGTTCATTAGAAATAAAATTTAACAAATAATAAAAGAGGTATATGTTCACAGAAAAAACTTGAATATGAAGTCTAATGTAGACTGGATATTTTTAGTCAAATCATTAACTTTCTCTTCAACATATTGGAGACAACATCACAAACACCTCTCTTTCCTATCCCCCTAATTTTTGTGCCTTAGTTAAAAATATGAAAATTTCAGAGTGTTGGCAGGTGATCAGGTTAAGTAAAGAAGTTTATGTTAAGTGGTGACTTTTTTAAATTTTTTATTTATTTATTTTTTATTTATATGTATTTTTTATTATACTTTAAGTTCTAGGGTACATGTGCACAATGTGCAGGTTTGTTACATATGTATGCATGTGCCATGTTGGTGTGCTGCACCCATTAACTCGTCATTTACATTAGGTATATCTCCTAAAGCTATCCCTCCCTCCTCTCCCCACCCCACAACAGGCCCCGGTGTGTGATGTTCCCCTTCCTGTGTCCAAGTGTTCTCATTGTTCAATTCCCACCTACGAGTGAGAACATGCGGTGTTTGTTTTTTTGTCCTTGAGATAGTTTGCTGAGAATGATGGTTTCCAGCTTCATCCATGTCCCTACAAAGGACATGAACTCAAACATTTTTTATGGCTGCATAGTA